>NC_000010.11:85446125-85597640 GCF_000001405.40 Homo sapiens | reverse complement strand
ACAATGGCCAATGGCTGGGATCTGCAAGATAGGGCACTAGATAGATCTGGATTACTTAGGGTGAGCAACCAAATGTGACCCAAGGAGAGCTCAGTTGCTGGCAGATTCAAGTAGACAGTTGCCAGGGGCTCAGGGGTGTCCAAACTCAGAGGAAAACAAAATATTCACCAACATATGGAGACTTGTACATCTAAAATAAGTATACACAGACACATATACACATATGTACATGTTCATGCACAAACACCGAAGTCCATGCAAACACAGTCACCATATCAGGCACATGCATGTAGAGTTTTAAAGCACATGGCAATGCGCTTGGGTGACATAAGCAAATGGAGATAGGCTCATCAGAAACAGAACCCAGGGGAGAAAAGAGGCTGTTTCAGGGCTTCCCTGCCCAGTGCACAGTCTCAATACAACAATCAGCCAAGCGGTGCTCTGCAATCAGCTGCCGAGGAGGGAGGAGCACCTCCTGCAATGCGGCCTGCTGTCTGCAAAGCTGCCTGGTGTGCTCACCAAACCCTCCTGTGTCATCAGTCCCTTGCTCTAAAATCCTGACTTGCAACCAGAATCCCTGAAATATGCAAAGAAGCCCCAAGCATTCTCCAAAACATCCTGCTTCCTAATAAGAAAACCCATTATCATCCGTATCAGTGACCGTTTCTTGATCAGGTGTGCTGTTTGAGAGACTGTGCTATACCCCTCACATACAAACACTCTCTTATTCTCAGATCAGCCATGCAAGGTAAAAAAATATTATAAATAGATTTATAGATAGGAAAACTGAAACTCAAAAAGACATGGTTCCAAAGCTGGTGAGAGACAGTGCTGGGATTCACTTTCTTGTCTATCTGAGTCCTTAGTGAGTACTCCTGCCAGTACAGCTGGCTCTCCCTCCCAGAGAGCATACCCACTGTGCCTCAGCTGCTGCACCTGTGCTGACCTTCCCTGTCACCAGCCTATCAGGTACCTCAGCCTCCACATCTGCTGCCTTCTCTCCAGTGGCTTCAGGGCAGTCGGTGAGTATCTGCTTGTGCACCCCTGCAGTGGCTGTAGGTAGGCTGGGCTAACAGGGTCATTTGTAACCACAGAGTTGGGCTGGATATCTGCTCCCCTGAAGTTGCCTAAGCCAGGCAGGGCATCAGTCTGTCAGGCTTACTCAGAAGCTGGGCTGTTCCTTTATGGATATCTCCTTCCTCCCCTAGACTCCCCAAGAGGCATATCCTCCTTCTGCCGAAGGTAAAGTGTGCATCAAGCTAAGGGAAACTCTGAGACTAACTAGTGCTCTAAAGAGTTTTAGGATTCTCCCCCGGGCAGGAATTCCTTCACCAAAGTCCCTTGATAGACCTCAGAGGTGCCTGAAAACCTCCAAAAATTATCTGCCAAATTGCTTGTGCATGTGTGTATGCATGTGTGTATGTGCCTTTTTTCCAGGAACCTGGTTCATATCTTCCACATATTCCTAAAATTCTCGTATAAAAGCTCTAAGCCACTTCCGTTAAGAGTTGTGAGTCAGGCAAGCCTCTGCATCTCACTCTTCCAAGGTGAGTGTTTAGGTGCAATCTTATTTTGATGCTCATCTGAGGTGAAAAGCAGAACAGTAGCCGAGGAGGGAGTGTAGAAAATGCATTGCAGATGGGGGCGTTGTGGCTTTGACTAAGAGGAGGTGGGAAAATCCCACTGGCAGGGCACCGTGGGCACCATGAGATACATGGGCAACAGGGTAGGGCTGGTGACCTGATCCTGGCACCCAGGAAAGTGCTCAAGATAAGTCAAAGGAAAGAACACTAAAACTGGCCAGGTCTGGACTGGATTCCTATGTCTGGCCATTATTGGAGGTGACATCTTGAGCACATTCCTTTTTACTTCTTTGAGTCTCTCTGTTTCATTCTTATATTAGTGACAATAATACCTATATCTTCTATTTGGTGAAAATTCCATAGTTAGTAATCATAAAAAAAAGCTGCAATTGGGAGTTGCTTCCCACAACACAGCTTTGCAGTCCTTAGAACTGCTTTACCCATCCTTAATTTGAGGCAAGCAAAAAAAAAATGGGTGAAATAAACTTATTCAAGCTCTTCCTTCAGAAATAATAGACTGGCAGGGAATTGGCTGTCTCCACACTCAGTCCCTGGGCTGATCTTGGTTCTAAATGCTCCAGTATTACCTGATCCACTCCCCACCACTGTGTTTACTATTCCAGCTTGGCGCCTGTGCCCTGCCACTTGACAATCCACCACCCTCCAGCATCCTCTCGCTTGCACTTCAGTGGTGAAGTCGACCTGCTCAGAGACCTCCCTCGCTCACATCTTCCTTCAGAGGATTTTGGCTGGTCTGTCTTCCCCTGAAGCTCTCATGCTTGTTTCCCTGGCATTAAGTAGAGAGGGTTCCTTTCACCTTGCCTCCTGCTTTCAACCCCTTACCTCCCTGTGGCTTTCTTGGATGGGAAGGGTCAGTGCCCTGCCTGGGATATATCCACATTTCCTCTGTTCTCCTAGGCCTAGCTCCCTGGGCAAGGGGTGCAGGGAGAAGGGATTCGTGCACCTTAGATGGAGACAAATGCTAGACAAATGCTATGGCAATAAAATAAGTGAGACCTGCTTTTGCATTTTGGCTCTGGACTTTACAGTTGTATGATTTTGGATTTGAAGTGATAAGAATGAATTCACAGAGCTATATGTGTGATTCATGATTGCTGAAATGATGTTTTCCCAGTTCATAAGCTCCCCTCTTCTGCCAGCTGAGCCTCTTGCAGAACCTATACAGTTCCCAAAGACCAGAGCTGGCTCTTGACAAGCAAAGCCATGCTTCCTTTTGCTTTGTGGCAAATTACTTTTTTTCCTGCAAAACAGCATGGCCTAGTGCTGATTCAGTAGATCAGAGTAGGAAAAGACAGATCTGGCTTAAAAATCTGTTCTTTGCCACTCACTAGATGGGTATCCTTGATCCTATTACCAATGTCTCTGAGCCTTCTTTCTCCCCCTCACCTGTAGAATGGATTCTGAGTCCTGAGCTGTTTTGAAGATCAGTGATAATGTGGGTAAGGTACCTGCACAAACACACTCTTATAAATAGCAGCTCTTGTGATTTGCACACCTACAGCATCCTGCCTCTTGGTGTGAACTGCTCAGGCTTTTAGCTTAGTCACCCATCTCATTTGTAACATTCACGTACAGACCACTTCCTTCCAGCTTGTCAGCTGAGACAGAGGAAGGAAGCATTTCCATTTTCGTCCCTAGAACTGGAATGCTTGCATTGGGTCTCACTCTCCCACTGGAAGCTGGCTGTAACAGCAGCCCTCACTTCTGTTCCCGAGACCCTCTCAGGTAATCACTCTGATTGTTATCAGAAAGCAAATGAAAAGCAGCCTGGCTTACCTAGAGAGGAGTGATTTGATTGTGAGAGGCTCAGTCAGTGCCCTCTCAGCTCCTGACTTTCAGACATGCTCATGATGAAGTGCAGCCGAAAAGAAGCAAACTTCAGCGAAACTAGCTCTCCAAAGCTGGTGGAGATATCTATGCATCCTCCAGAATATAGTTTGAGAGGTAAGGTTTATGGCCATATAGTTCAAAAAACAAAGACCTTCAGAGGTTCCTGGGGTGATGGCCCTGTGCTTTTCAGGTAGCATCCAACCCCTTGTGTTTTATGGGGGAAATAAATGCACACACCTGAAGCAATGAGCTGTGTATGTGCTGGGATTATTTTACATCTATTCCATCATGTCTGCTTTTTTTTAGCTTCTGCCTCTACCTTAGGCCCGAAGCCCAAAGGTAGTTGAATCTTCTTTTGTTGGCAACTTGTCATCTGGCTAGGCTAAGTAATCTCACATAGAAGGTGCTTGTTGTATTCTAGAGAAAATGACCCAGTGAGCTGCTATGTCAGTAAGGATCCTGCATGGTAAGAAAGAGATGGCACAGGGAAACTGAGAAATTTGGGGAGAGAGACTATTTGGAAAGATGTGCACAGGCAAAGCAAAGTCACAAGGAGAACTGATGATTAATGAGATTGAGCCTTTTACACATGCTTATGTGCATATTGCTTTTGTGAGCTGTCTCTTTTCTTCCATAGTGGAGAAGCCTGAGTGTATTGGGTCTCACTCTCCCACTGGGAGCTGGCAGTAACAGCAGCCCTCACTTCTGTTAAAAAGTGAGCACACCCTTACCCACGGATGGCCCAACAAGGTGGAAGGAGGGAGCACATGTTCTAACTACGGTCAGGACTGCCTGACAGGAGCTGAGCCCAGCTCCAGAGATAAGCCATTCAATGGTGACTCTACAAGCAGCCAGCTGCGGGAGTGCATACTCTGACTTCACTGGTCTCCTGCCAGCGAATCTCCTGCCAATCCCTAGAGCAGATGGCAAGGGAGTCCACTGAGGCAGAGTAGAGAAAGATGGAAAATGGGTGTGGGGCAGGGAAGAAATAAAATATATTTCCTCTAGGGGAGTCGAGAGGGGAAAGAAAAGGAATTCACATGGATCATATGCCTAGCATGTCCCAGGAGAATTAATTCCTTCTCCCCCTGGAAAATTAAAGAAATCTCTTTTTGATAAATGCAGAAAATGAGACTTAGGGTAGTTGAGTGGTTTGCTCAAGGCCATTCATCTTGTCTGTCAGCCTAAATAAAGCTCATGCTTTTTCTGCCCTGAATTGCCCCACATGTTCCGAAGATGGCGACACAAGACACATCAGACAGAGGGTCACCTCCCCAGATCTTGGTCTCAGCCACCAAGGACTGCAAGCTTGCAGGTGAGGACAGGCAGTGTGGAGGGTGTGGCATTCAGGGAGAAAACACTAGTTAGCCTTTTTGCAGTTGGGGTAGTGTGAATGTATCCTGCATAATTCTAATTTGGCTGTGGGAGGCCACTATTCTGAATGGATCCCTAAAGAATACTAAGGCACAGAATTACACAGGAGTCAGTGTTGGAATCAGAAAGGTGTGATTTTGGAGGGAGGTTTTTAGTTACATGACCATGAGTAAGTCCCTTAACTTCTCTGAGCATCAGCTTCCATATCTATGAAATCTAAACAACGTGAGCAGCAATTTTATTTTGAATAATGAACTAAGAAAACCGGGAGGCTGGGCATGGTGGCTCACGCCTGTAATCCCAGCCCTTTGGGAGGCCAAGGCGGGTGAATCACCTGATGTCGAGACCAGCCTGGCCAACATGGGGAAACCATGTCTCTACTAAAAATACAAAAAAATAGCCAGGTGTGGTGGTGGGCACCTGTAATCCCAGCTACTCGAGAGGCTGAGGCAGGAGAATTGCTTGAACCCCAGAGGTGGAGGTTGCAATGAGCCGAGGTTGCACCATCACATTGCAGCCTGGGCAACAACAGCAAAACACCATCTCGGAAAAAAAAAAAAAAAAAAAGAAAGAAAGAAAGAAAAGAAAAGGAAAAGAAAAGAAAAGAAAACTCGGACTAAAGTACCTAGTGCCAGTGGCTGACATACAGCAAGTGCTCAGTAATGATGACCATTAGCAGTACAGGAAAATGGTCATGGAAGGCCCAATTACAAGGTCACAGTTTTATAATATACTTGTTCAGAAAATTATAAAATTTACTTAGAAAGGTGCACAAATCATAAGTATAGAGGTTGGTTAATTTTAACAGTGTGAGTGCTCTTGTGTAGGCCCTAACCCAAAATGAGAATAGAATTTCCTCTTGTATACTTCCTCAGTTGACAACTCTGGAACTCTGAAGGTAATCAGTACTATAAATTCTAGAACCGTTGATTAATTTCATCTATTTTAGATATACGTTGAGATAGAATCAATTATACTTTTTTCTATTTTTTTTTTTTAATTCAACACTGGCTTTAGGGACTTTATGTTTCTGCATGAAGTTCATTTCATTGTTTTACAGGATTTCTTTGTATGAATATGCCACAATTTATGCATTCTACTGTCAATAGACTTTTGATTTGTGTTCGTTTTGGGTTATAACAAGCAGTATCCCAATAAACATTTTTTGGACATGTTGGGTGAATTTATGTATGCTTTTCTGTTGGTTTGCTGGGTCACAAGTATGCATGTGTTCAATTTTATGTAGATACTGCTAAACAGTTTTCAGAAATAGTTGTACTGATTTATGCAGTTGACCTGCAGTGTTTGAGAGCTGCAGTTGTCCCACATCCTCATTAACACCTGTGCTATCATATATTTTAATTTTCAGCCATTCTAGTGGGAATGTGGTACACTTAATTGTGATTTTAATTTGCATTTACTGATGATTAATGAGATTGCGCATTTTACATATGCCGATTTGTATATTGCTTTTGTGAGCTGTCTCTTTTCTTCCATAGCATGGTTTACCTTTTCACTTTCTTTGTGGTATCTTTTGATGAACAGAAGTTGTTAATTTAAATGTAAGTTCATTTTCAACTTTTTTTTTTTTCCTTCGGTGTTAGATATGTCCTGTTTCTGAAAACTGCCTAAACCAGGCCACAAAGATATTCTTTTGTTTTCTTCTGGGTGTTTTGTGTTGATGTTTGTTTTGCCTTTACATTTACATCTGCAAGCTGCCTGGAATCAATTTTTTAGTATGATATCAGAAAGAGGTTATAACATGTTTTTAATATGGACATTTGTTTATTACAGAATCATTTATAGAAAAAAGTCCCTTTCTCATTACACTGCAGCATCAGATTTATCATGAATATAGTGATCTTATGTGTGTAGGCCTGTTTTCATTATCATATTCTGTTGATCCATTTGTCTGTTTTTGCACTAACGTCCTACTGTCTTAGTTGATGTAACTTTGTCATCAATCTTGATTATCTGGTTATGTGAGTCAGTCCTTTGCATTTACACATAAATTTTAAAACATCATGCTATTTTCTGGAAAATTACTCTTGAGATTTTGGCCAAAACTGCATTGAATCCACAGATAAACTTTGAAAAAATTAATACCTTTCCATTTCTTACTTTCAACTTTTCTGTGTTCTTATATTTAAGGTGCGACATTTGAAAGCAGTTTGAGGCTCTGCGTGTGTGTCCGTATGTGTGTGTGTTTTAATACGGTGTTTAAAATATTTAATTAGTGCATTCACATTCAACATAATTGCTGATGTATTTGGATTTAGATCTATAGTCTTTTTTTCTATTTTTCCCTCTTGT
Source organism: Homo sapiens (assembly GCF_000001405.40). Taxonomy (NCBI): domain Eukaryota; kingdom Metazoa; phylum Chordata; class Mammalia; order Primates; family Hominidae; genus Homo; species Homo sapiens. Next base: position 85,590,519 of record NC_000010.11, on the reverse strand, counting down.
TCTATTTTAATTATCCCCTTTTTGCCTTCTTAGTAGTTAAAATAATGCTTTGTTATTCAGTATCCTCTCTCTGTTAGCTTGTTGGTTGTACATTTTTATATTCTTAAAGGGATTATCCTATAGATATAAATATATATTTTACCATGTCCAAGACAAAATCGGGATCTTAAAACACCTTAACTTCATTTAACCCATTCCATTTTTTATAATTGTAATTTTACATATATTTTCAACAAAACTTCAATAATAATTTTTTAACTATTGTTACATACAGTAAGGAATCATTTGGGCTTTTCAATATATTTATTTTTTTCTGTGTCTGTTTATTTCTTCCTCTATGTCTCTGTTTCTTTCTGAGATATTTTTCTTCTGCCTGAAAAAACACTTTTAAGAATTACAAATAAAGCTGCTACAAATATCCATTTGTAGGTTTTTGGTGGCCATTAAGTTTTTAAATCATTTGGGTAAATACCTAAAAGCGCAATTGGTGGTTTGGATAATAAGACTGTGTTTGTCACAATTTACCGAATTTGTCAGAAATTACCAAACTGTCTTCCAAAGTGACTGTATTCACCATCAATAAATGAAAGTTCCTATTGCTTCTCATTTGATACTATCACTGTTTCGGACTTTGTCCATTCTAAAAGATAGTTGTGCTATCTCTTTGTTTTAATTTGCAGTTCCCTAATGGCATATGATGTGGAGCATCTTTTTATATGCTTATTTGATATCTGTATGTTTTCTTTGATGAAGTGTCTGTTCAGGTCTTTTGCCCATGTTTTAAATTGAGTTGTTTGATTTTTTATTGTTGAATATAAGAGTTCTTTGTATATTTTTGATAATAATCTTTTTATCAGATATGTCTGTTGAAAATATATTCTCCCAGTCTGTGGTTGTCTTCTCATGCTCTTGACAGTGTCTTCAGCAGAGCAGAAATTTTTAATTTTAATGCAGTCACCTTATTGGGTTTTTATTTCATAGATTTTGCCTTTGCTGTTGTGTCTAAAAAGCCATCATCATACTCAAGGTCATGTAGATTTTCTCCTATGATATCTTGTGGAAGTTTTATAGTTGTGTACTTTGCATTTAGGTCTATGGTTTCTTTTGAGTTAATTTTTGTGAGGGTATAAGGTCTCTGTCTAAATTCTTTGTGGGTTTTTTTTTTTTTTTTTGCATGTGGATTTTCAGTTGTTCCAGAACATTTGTTGAAAAGAGTATCTTTCTTCATTGCGTTACCTTTGGTTCTATATCAAAATTTAGTTGACTTTATTTATGTGGTTCTACTTCTGGGCTCTATATTCTTTTCCATTGATCTACTTGTCTGTTCTTTTGCTAATACTGCATTGTAGCTTCATAGTAAGTCTTAAAGTCTGATAGTATCAGTTCTCTGACTTTGTTCATTTGCAATGTTGTGTTGGCTATTCTGGGTCTTTTGCTTCTTCATATAAACTTTAGAATCATTTTGTTGATATCCACAAAATAACTACTGGGATTTTGGTTGAGACTGTATTTAGTCTATTGATCAAGTTGTGAAGAACTGATACCTTGACAATATTGAGTGTTTCTATCCATGAACATAGAATATCTTTCTATTTATCTGGTTCTTTGATTTATTTCATCAAAGTTTTTCATTTTTTATATAGATCTTGTAATATTTTGCTAGATTTATGCCAAGTAATTTAATATTTTTGGCACTACTGTAGATGGTATTGTGGTTTTAATGTCAAATTCCATTTATTGTTGACATATAGAAAGTCAATTTAATTTGTATATTAACCTTATATCTGAAGGCTTTCTATAATTGCTTTTGAGTTTTGGGAGTTCTGTTGTTGGTTATTTCAGATTTTCAACATAAAGAAATCTGCCACCTATGAAAGAGTTTTATATCTTTCTTCCCAATCCGTATACTTTTTATTTCCTTTTCTTGTGTTACTGCATTATCTTGCTTATTGCATAGTTTTAACACTTTGAAAAGGAATGGTAAGAGGAGATATACTCATCTTTTTCCTGATCTTAGTGGGAAACGTTCTAATTTCTCACCATGAAGTAAAATTTTAGTTATAGGTTCTTGTAGTTTTTTTTTTATCTAGTTGAGAAATTTTCTTCTATTTCTAGTGTGCCATGAGTTTTAATTATGAATAGGCATCAAGTTTTTTAAAATGTACTTTTCCTGCATTTATTGATATAATCATGAACTTTTTGTTGCTGTTGTTTAGTCTTTTGATAGAATGAACTAGCATTTCATACCTGGGATAAATGACACTTGGTCATGATGTATAATTTTTTTATTGGATTCAATTTGCAAATATTTTGTTGAGATTTTCTGCATATTTGTTCATTAGAAATATTGGCCTGTACCTTTATTTTCTTGTAAAATGTCTTTGGTTTTGGTATTAGGGTAATGGTGGCCTCACAGAATGAATTAGGAAGTTTGTCCTCTGCTTTTATCTTCTGGAAGAGATTGTAGAAATTGTAATTTTTTTCTTTAAATGTTTGGTAGAATTGATCAATGAACCCATCTGGGTTTGATGCTTTGGATTTTGAAAGGTTATTAATTTTTGATTCAAATTATTTAGTAGATATAGGTGTATTCAGATTGCCTACTTTTTCTTGTATGAGTTTTGGCACATGTGCCTTTCTGTTCTATTTTATCTAAATAATAAAATTTGTAGGTGTTGAGTTATTCATAGTATTTTTATTATCCTTTTAATGTTCATAAGATCTGTACTGATGTCTCTTCTTCATTTCTGATATTAGAAATTTTTGTCTTCTTTTTTTCCTTTGGTAAGCAGACTAGAGTTTTATAAATTTTATTCATCTTTCAAAGAACCAGCTTTTGGATTTGTTCATTTTCTCTATTGATTTCCTGCTTTAAATTTCATTTATTTCTGCTTTAATTTTTATTATTTCTTTCTTCTACTTACGTTGGATTTAATTTACTCTTCTTTTTCCACTTTTCTAAAGTGGAAGCATAGATTATTCACTTTAGATATTTCTTTTTACAAAAGTATATATACAGTGACTGCTCCAAATTTCTCTCAAAGCACTGCTTTTGCTGCATCCCACAATTCTTGATGAACTGTTTATTTTTGTTTAGTTCAAAATATTTCTAAATTTCTCTTCAGATTTTTTTCACTCACCAATATGTTATTTAGAAATGCATTGCTTAATTGCTAAGTATTTGGGGATTTTTCACCTACCTTTATTATTGTTTTCTAGTTTAATTCTATTTTGTTCTGAGAGAAAACATCGTATGATTTCTATTTTTAAAAAATTTGGGCCAGGTGCGGTGGCTCATGCCTGTAATCCCAGCACTTTGGGAGGCCAAGACGGGCGGATCACGAGGTCAGGAGATCGAGACCATCCTGGCTAACACGGTGAAACCCCGTCTCTACTAAAAATACAAAAAAAATAGCCGGGCGTGGTGGCGAGCGCCTGTAGTCCCAGATACTCGGGAGGTTGAGGCAGGAGAATGGCGTGAACCTGGGAGGAGGAGCTTGCAATGAGCTGAGATCGCGCCACTGCACTCCAGCCTGGGGGACAGAGCGAGACTCCATCTCAAAAAAAAAAAAAAAAAAATTGTTGTTTTTTTATGGCCAAGAATATTGATCTATCTTGGTAAATATTTTGCATGAGCTTAAAAAGAATTTGTACTATACTTTTATTGGATGAAGTAGTCTATAGATGTGAATTATATCAAGTTGATTGATGGAGCTGTTGAGTTCGACTATGTCCTTAGTTATTTGCTGCCTGCTGGATTTGTCCATTTCTGATAAAGGAGTGCTAAAGTCTACAAATATAATAGTGGATTCATCTACTTCTCTTTGAAGTTCTATCAGTTTTTGCCTTACATATTTTGATGCTCTCATTTTAGGTACACACCCGTTAAGGATTGTTGTATATTATTGTAAATCTATCCCTTTATGTTTACCCCTCTTGATCCCTGATTATATTCCTTGCTGTCAAGTCTGTTCTGTTTAATATTAATGCAGCTTCTTCCTTTTCGTTTTGATTAGTGTTAGCATGATATACCTTTCTCCATTTCTTCTAATCTATATGTTTCTTTATATTTAAAGTGGGTTTCTTGTGGAATTTTGATCCACTCTCACAATTTTTTAATTGTGTATTTAGATATTTCATGTTTGAAATGATTATTAATATAGTTGGATTAATAACTTTTCTATTTATTGCCTTTGTTTTTATTTTTTACTTTTCAGTCTTTTGTGGCTTCACTTGAGCATTTTATATAATTCTATTTTCTCTCCTTTCTTAGCATATAATTTATACTTCTTTTTTTTTTCCTAGTGGTTGCCCTGGAGTTTGCAATATATATTTACAACTAATCCAGGTCCACTTGAAAGTGGAAATATTATACCACTTCACAGGCAGTGCAAGTACCTTATAATAACAAAATATTCCTAATTGTTCCTTCTTGTTCTTTGAATCATTGCCCTTATTCATTTCACTTATACATAAGCTATAATCATTAAAAAATTGTTGCTATTATTTGGAACAAACTGTTACGTGTTAGAACAATTAAGAACAAGAAAAATAGAAGTTTTTATTTTATCTTTACTGTTCGTTCTCCAGTGATCTTCCTTTGTTTATGTAGATCTGAGTTTCTGACCTATATCATTTTCTTTCTTTCTGAAGAGCTTCTTTTAACATTTCTTTCATGGCAGGTCTACTGGCAACAAATTTCCTCAAGTTTTGTTTGTATGAGAATATTTTTATTTTTCCTTCACTTTTAAAGGATAATTTTGCAACCCACAGAGTTCCAGGCTAGTGTTTTTTCTTCCAACACTTTAAATATTTTACTTCATTCTATTGCTTGAAGTTTTTCTGAGAAATCAGACGTAATTTTTTTTTTTTAATAGGGAGTCTCGCTTTGTCAGCAGGCTGGAGTGCAGTGGCGTGATCTCGGCTCATTGCAGCCTCCACCTCCCAGGTTCAAGCGATTCTCCTGCCTCAGCCTCCTGTGTAGCTGGGACTACAGGCGTGTGCCACCATGCCTGGCTAATTTTCTTTTGTATTTTTAGTAGAGACAGGGTTTTACCCTGTTAGCCAGGATGGTCTCGATCTCCTGACCCTGTGATCTGCCTGCTTCAGCCTCCCAAAGTGCTGGGATTACAGGCGTGAGCCACCACGCCCGGCCGTAATCCTTATCCTTGAACCTTTATGAGTAAGATGTTTTTTACATTTGTCTTATTTTTAAGACTTTTTAATTTTTGATTTCCCACAGTTTGAATATAAATTTTCTAGGTGTAGTGTATTTTTGTCTTGTTTTGATTCTTCATTTCAGAAGCAGGGTCGTGTTATTCTGTTTGGTGTTCTCTGAACTTCCTGGACTTGTGATTTGGTGTCTGACATTAATTGGGGAATATTCTCAGTCATTACTTCAAGTATTTTATGTTTCTTTATTTCTTCTTCGTATATTCCCATTAAGCATTTGTTACATCATTTGTAGTTGTCCCACAGTTCTTGGATATTATGTTCTATTTTTTCATGTTTTTCTCTTTGATTTTCAGTTTTAGAAGTTTCTGTTGACATATGCCCAAGCTCAGAGATTCATTCCTCAGCCATATCCAGTCTACGAATTACTCTATCAAAGGTATTCTTCTTGTTACAATGTTTTTGATTTATATCATTTCTTTTTGAATATTTCTTAAAATTTCCATCTCTCTGCTTACATTTTACCTCTGCTTTGCGTATTTTCTACTTTTTCCATTAGAGCCTTTAGCTTATTAAGGATAGTTCCAAATTCTCGGCCTGATAACTCCAACATGTCTGAAATATATGAGTCTGGTTCTGATATTTGTTCTGTCTCTTCAAACTGTTTTTTGTTGTTGTTGTTTTTTTTTGTATTTTGCCTTTAGTATATATTGTGACTTTTTGTCGTAAGCCTGACTGACATACTCAGTAAAAGGAATTCTGATAACAGATCTTTAGTAATGTGGTGGGCAGGTGAAGTGTTCTATCACTCTGTGATTATTAGGCTTTCGTCCTTTTGTGATCCTATGCCCCTTGAATATGAACTTCACAAGGGCTTCTCAGTCTCCCTGACCCCTGCTCCAGGTAGGACAGGTTGACTAGAGTGGGCTAGAGTTGGGTCTTTCTCTTTCTCCAGGTTGGTTAGGCTCTGTTAAAACCACAAAAGAGTAGGCTTTGGTAAGATATTTTTTATTGACCACAGGCCTTTTTAAGAACAGAATGCTTTGGCATATTTCATAATGGTTACTTCTCCCTTCTATTTTCAAATACATGAGGAAAGTTTTCTCTGATACTCACTTTGAGAACCTGAGAGAGCTCCTGGAAGTAAAACTCATAAAAAGTGAGGGGCCTCTGTATGCCTGCCCCCACTGGAGTTTCTAACTCTCAGATTCATCCACACTGAGCTTTCAGCAATTCACCAGTTACAGTTTGGGTTTTCCTGCCCCAGTATTTGTTCCCACAGAGGTTTCTGCTTGTGGGTCTCTGTTCTGGCAAGTTGTGATTCTCTGTATACGCTCGTGTGTCTCTCTTATTTTTGGGGAGGAGGTTTATCCTGTGACCTTACGTTTATGACAGATCTAAGAAGAGTTGATTTTTCAGTTTATGTATTTTTCTTTTGTTTACTTGTTGTTAGTGAAGACCTCAAAGCTCCTTACATGCAGGTCTAGAATCCAGAAGAGGCTTTAAAAAATGCTCGGTAATATTTTATGGAGCATCAGATATTGTGTATGAAACACTATGTAGGCTCAGAACCGCATTCTCTTTTCCCAGAGATAATTTACTCTATCATATAGCGGGCAACTAGAACAAGAAAGATAATCTCAATTATTCAGGAATGGAACTGACTTGAGCCTGCTTTCATTTCTTTTCTTTTCTTTCTTTCTTTCTTTCTTTTTTTTCTTTTTTTTTTTTTTTTGAGATGGAGTTTTGCTCTTGTTACCCAGGCTGGAGTTCAATGGTGCGATCTCGCCTCACTGCAACCTCTGCCTCATGGGTTCAACTGATTCTCCTGCCTCAGCCTCCCAAGTAGCTGGGATTACAGGCATGAGCCACCACGCCTGGCTAATTTTGTATTTTTAGTTGAGACAAGGTTTCTCCATGTTGGTCAGGCTGGTCTCGAACTCCCGACCTCAGGTGATCTGCCCACCTTGGCCTCCCAAAGTTCTGGGATTACAGGCTGGTTTCACTTCTTAAAAGATTTTGACTACTTCTGATAGGGACAGGAAGCAGAGAAATTCTAGGCAGAAAAGGGTGGGGTCTCTGGCGAGGGCCCCATCCTCAAGCCTGGAACCACAGCCCAAAGTGAGAACTTTACATGCCCGTTTTCCTGCTCGAATGTTGCCTTTTCCAAAGCCACACCTGGACTGCCCTGCACTCCATCCTGGTACCCATAAAAACTCCAAGCTCCACTGGCAGAGAGCAGAGAAGGGGAGAAGAGAGGAAGTGGCTGAATGTTGGAGAGAAGCAGTTTGACTTCAGAGGGACAGCTTGATGGTGGGACTTCAGGGGAAGAATACCTTCCCACTCCATCCCCTTTCCAACTCCTCTTCCCACTAAGAGCCACTTCCATAGGCAATAAAATCCCCCACATTTGCTATCCTTCAATTCATTCATGTGACCTGATTTTTCCTGGATGCTGAACAAGAGCTCAAGATACAGAAGGCTGTCACGCTGACCCTCTACCCTTGCAAAAAGGCAGAGCGTCCACTAAGCTGTTAATCATTTAAGCCATCTGTGGATGATAAAGCTGAAAGAGCACTGCCTGTAACACTCCTTCTGGGGCTTTGGGGATAGTGGGTACTCTCCCATAGATGCTGCCATGGGCCCCGCACAGCATTTTGCTCCTGACAGTGCCCAGAAGCACTTGCCCTGGCTCCTTCCTGCACAAGCTCAGCTGCACTGCTCCTCTCACAAGGGGTGGAATGCAGTGGATCCCAGTGAGTGAAGCCTCTGAAGCCACTGGCTAGCTCCAGCACCCACATTCTAGTTCCCACCCATGAAGGGGTCCAGGAAAATTTCCTGTTTCACTTCTGTTTTATCCCCACTAGTAAACTGTAGCCCTTCAGGGATCACACCTGAACACCTGTTATGTTTACCAACACCCCTTTTTATGACTTATTCTCATCTCCATATTTTTTCTCCCCAGCATAGTGAAATGGCCAAAAACTCTACTCATCATTTTAGTGTCTTTATTCCTCTGCTTCTTAGTCTTTTTTCCTAAACAACTTACAAATAGCCTAATCCCTCAATAGGAAGACTGGCACACAGTGTGGCTCTCATCTTAATATCCCCATTTCACTATCCAGGATTTGGGTTCCTCAAGATTGGGTTGCCTTGATTGGTCCAGACTCCAGCCTTCGTTTCCCCACTTTCGTGATACATGGAGAGCGCTGCTTAGCTGCTGATTCTTTGTTGGGTTCTTCTCCATTTTCTGGCAGGCACTTATCTCCATGATAGACATCAAAGTGGCAATGACCAATAGGAAAAGCCTCATGCAGTTCCTCACAAGACTGTGGCCTTTAACTCTTGGTTATTCAGTAGCTCCCTAATACCTGCAAACAAATGTTACTTTCATTTCATTCAGCTTTTCTAGTTGTTGCTCTTGGAAGTATTGGTATTAATAGACAGAAATGAGAGTCCTGGGGCCACTTCTTGTAAGAAGTAAAAGTTTCAGGCAGGTGTTCATAGCAACCAATGAAATAAGCAGAGGTGCTGTAGAGAACTCTGGAAAGTTCCCAGAAGGGCAGTCCTTACCATCAATATCATGAGCTGACCCTTGGCTGCAATTGAAGAGGCTGCTGCATCTCAGCAGATCAGAATCATCTGTAATATCTTATTTGAAGAGATGAAATGACTACATGCTTTATCCAGCATCACTCCCAAGAATGTGAAGGAGACCGCTCTTTAATACATCACGGAGAGACAGCTTCTTGAGCATGAGCCAGAAATGAGTTCCTCATAAAAGATCCAGGTCAGAGCATAAGCACTGGGCCAGTGTAGCTCCAATGTCACTGGTGTGCTGCGTCCTGCTCTTACCAGCTCATGAAAACCTCTTGTGTGTATCTTTTCTCAACTCTGTGTTCAGTAACATCACATTAGCACCATGAAATTGGCCATGATGGGAATATTTACACCATGGAAATCAGCAAGCACTATAAATCAGAGCCTTGTTTTACTCAGAGAGCTGATTATAAAACATTAGCCAGCATATTACCACCCAGAGGAGGTGAATGGCAGAACACTAGGGCCAGATTTCAAACCCTGTATTAGGCTTGTATGCTGAGGGCTGACTCAGTAACAGGCATCATGTCAAACTCTTTGCACGTGTTCCATCATTTAATCCTCACAATAAAACTGTGAGATCAGATGATGGAGAGTAGGAGATTTTGTGTAACCTGCTTAAGACCGCAGAGCAACCTAGGTCAGTCTGGTCCTCACATCTTTGTTCTTAACTACTGCACTAAACATTCTCCCTGCAGCTGCACAAAATGGGAGGACAAACCCTAGACTAAATGGATTGGGAGGTTTTTAGTTACTGAGGGCAGAAAACATAGTATGGCAGAGTCCAAGAACTGGTGTTGGAACTGAGCACATAGCAAGTCTACATATGACAATGCAAACAGACCCTGAGGCAGGGCCTACAGGTTCCCAGTGAGCAGAAAAGCAAACTCAAATAAGCTGGGAGGCAGTAGCCAGTCTTGGATGCATCTGTGGCTGATGGGCATAGTGCAATGACACAGGAAACTAGAATCAGCAATATGACATGGCCACATGCCAGCAGTAGCAGGAACCTGCCCGTGGGGCTTGGCGGCAGTTCTCTGCACTCACAGTGAGTGATTTCCAAGAGCTATGCATATCTGTCAAAGGAATTTAGGTTCTAGGTGGGTTTTTCAGTCTGGGACTTGGTGATGATCCAGAGTTCCTGCTTTCAGGAAGAGGCAATTTGATCAGAATAGAACTAGCAGAACAGAACTCAGGATTATACAAAGATTCTGCAGTGTAGAGGGGTAGAGGTTCTTAGCTACGGAGATGTCCCTGCCAAGACCTAAAAGCTGGGAGAGAAGGGACACCCAGAATACTGAGAACTAAGCAGGCCTGGAACAATGCCAAGGCAGGATACAGGTACCCCAAGTTATGGGTCTTAGGACTGAGTGTGATTCTCAGACCCTGCTCAGATCAGGGCCCAAGTGGAGTGGCCATCAGCCCAATGGCAGCTACTCTTGAGCCCAGGGACATGTCCTGTGTACACTTAAGTTGAAGATAATAGTTTCTTCTCTTTTTGTTTTTGGGTACTATTCCTTTTCAGGCATTTCAGATGTGCCAGCAGAGGCTAACAAAATATGAATCTATCCTCTTCTGGATAAACCCGAGAGATTTCAGATGGGTGGGAGTACCTGGAATGGACTATGTGGTAAGGACAGACCACAGACAAATAAAAACCAAGATAGGCCAGGAGGGGCCGTCAACATTTCTCGAATACAACAGTGTGCAGGGCACCAACTTTTTCTAGGGACACAGAGATCCATGGGAACTCCCATGGAGCTATCAAAACACATTGTGATGAGACTGTAATGAAGATGGTCTTATGTCCTGGTTTGCCAGAGACAGCCCCAGTTTGTGCTTATTGTTCTAACAATTATTAATAACTTCCATTAGAATGATGAATGGTGTGATCACTCTAGTTATAATGGATGTGATGGTTAATTTTTTTGTGTTGACTTAGCTAGGATCGTGATGCCCAGGTATTTGGTCAAACACTAGTCTACATGTTGCTGTGAAGGTATCATTTTTAGATGAAATTAGCATTTAAATCAATAGATTTTTGAGAACATCAGATTAACCTCTGTACTAAGGGTTAGCTTCATTCAATCAATTGAAGGTGTTAAGAAAAAAAACTGAGTTTTCCCGAAAGGAGGGTATTTTACCTTCAGAGTCCCTTTGGATTGGAGCTGTAACATGGTCTCCAGCATCTTCCCTGGATCCCCACCTGACCTGCAGAGGGGGACTTGCTGGGGTCCATACCATGTGCACCAATTCCCTAAAATACATAAACGAATACATCTCTCTCCTTCTCTCTCTCTCTTCTCTCTCTGTCCCTCCCCCACAACCCTCCGTCCCCTCTCTCTTTCTCTGTTTCTCTGTCTATCTGTCTATCTATCTATACACACAATCTTTTGGCTCTGTTTCTCTAGAGAACACTGATAAATAAAATATACTAATGTATAAGAAGCTATGAAGGCATAGTTGCAGTTGTTGTCACTTCTGGGCCCAAGAATTTGAAGGATAAGCTGTTTAAATTACAATGCTGGTGTGGGAGTAGCCCAGGAAAGAGCTTGAACATGTTGAGGAGGGAGATACAAAAGCACGATTCTAAACCAAAGCACCAGCAGGGAGGATGGAAAGGACAGACATGGATCTGAGAAAAATTGTCCTTCATTTCTTGCTGTTGTTATTGCACTGGCTTGGTGCACCCGTATCCTGAACAACCCAACCACCTGTTTTCTCTATTCTTATCCCCAGATGGTGGAGTGCAGGTGATGAAAGCTACACAGCAGAACAGATTGATTGCTGTCCTTGTAAATTCATGGTTGCCAATCTCTAAGAGACCTGGAAATCTCACTAGGACTTTTTGGCCAATTCTTTCTTTACTTTCCCCAGAAACTGTTCACACTTTTTAAATGCATAAACACGCCTCCTCTCCTTTACTCAACATTTTTTAATTAAACTTTTTTATTTTGAGATACTTACATATTCACATGGAGTTGTAATAAGAGAATTTCCCTGTACTCTTTACTCGGTTTTTGCCAATGATAACATCTTGTGAAGTTGTAGCATAATATCAAATCCAGGATACTGACATGAATACAGCCGAGATAAAGTATATTTTTATCACGACATGATGCTTCATGTTGCTGTTGTATAGTCACACCCACTTCCCTCTGCTTCTCCTTAGCCTCTGGCAACCACTAATCTGTTGTTCATTCTCATCATTTTATCATTTCTAGCATGTTATATAGATGAAATCATATACCTTATGTGCTTTTTTAGGATTGGTTTTTGTCAGTTCATATCCACTTTACAGAAAAATAAAAAATAAAGTAAAAGTTTTCAAATGAGAATTTACTTATCTCCCCAATTATAAATATATGAATGACCTGCATCTGTCCTCAATATCGCCCCCTTTTTTTGCTGTAATAATAAAGTAGACTTTCTTCTGGGATTAAAGCCACATCTCATCCTGGAAACCAGATCCTATCCACTCTTACTTTCCCAGGAGCAATGAAACAGGTATTAATTATTTTTTCCTTATACATAGATTCCTTCTGTTAACTAGATTTGTCTATTAGCCTTTAATTTGTTCAAACCATTTCCATTAAATACACATAAAATCCTAATCTCATTCCCCCAGCTATTGCTCCGCTTCCTCTCTTCTTTTATTGAGCTTCTTAAAGAAAATCTTATTTCTTCATTTTACATTATTTCTTAACCACTCTACTGTGGCTTACATTCTCATAATTCCACATCCAAGTAGCTCTACTGAATAGAGGTATTCCCATATGACCTCTTTCTTGAATTCTCAGCACCTTTGGTCCTGATAATCACTCTCTGCTTCTTGCAATGCTCTCTTACCTTGTCTTCCATGAGACAGCATTCTCCTCATTTTTCTTCTGCTCCTCCTACCATGTTTTCTCCATTTATTTTCTGAGCTTGTTCTCTTCCACTCAACCAGTGAATGGTTGGAGTTCTCAGAATTTGGTCACGGGCTGTCTGTCTTCTCAGTTCACTCAAGTTTTTCTCCCTAGACATTCTCATCTACATTATGACATCACTTATCATCTATATACAGACAGTACACGCGTTCATATGCAGCATCATCTTCCTCTGAGTTTCAAACTTGTAATCCATATCTCTTCTTGGAAGGCTGAAAGTCCCTGCAAACCAATATGTTCAAAATTGAAATTAAGATACAGTCCCCAGTGCTGTCCTCCATCGCATAATCTTCTTTTTCTATTCTCCAAGTCAGTGAAGGAGACCATCATCCGTCCACTTAGAAAAGCCAGGAACCTGACATGATGTCCTCTTCTCCTTAATCTTCCATAGTCAACACTTCATTGTGTTGATTTTATCTCCTAAATAACTCACCAACCCATCCACCTGTCTTCTGCCCAGTTGCCTTCCTACTCATTCAAGAGACCACCACCCCTTCTGCCAGAGATATTGCCATTGCTGCCTCAACATTCTCCTGCCTCGACCCTTGCTCCTCACCAAGCTGGTTGCCACACTGTGACCAGAGTAAAATTTTTCAAAATTCAAATTCGCTTTTCTTTTTCTCTCTCTCATGCTGAATATCTGCAAATGCTTTCACTGTCTTGCCAATGCTGTTAGAACAGACAAAGACATAGCTCCTTTATGTGGTCTAGGCTCTGCATGGTCTGCTTTCCTCCTAATTTCCAGTCTCATTTTGCACAGTTTTCCTCCAATTTCTGCTTCAGCCACACTGGTCTTTTGGTGGCAATTATGCCCCATGATGCTCCTGCCTGAGGCATTTGCCTACAGTACTATGTGCAGGAGCCATTTGACTTCTATTCAATTCTTTCTCTTTCCCTCATTCTTCAGTTCCTGGCTCAATCATCATTTTCTGATGTTTTCTTGCAATTTTTCACTTGTTTGATGCTGATCTTGTTTATGGTCATGTCCCTACAGTACATTTTAAGAGCCATAAGGGCAGGCCCTATTACCTATTATTATCCTTATTATTATATCTATATCCCTATTATCTTTATTATTATAGTCATGGCGTAGCACCATGACTCACAGGGTCATTATGTTGTACCTAATGCATGGTGTCCCTGGCACTGTGCATTATTACAGCTGAAATTACTTACTTCACATGGAGGAAATTTCAAATAAATATTTTTGAGTGAATTAATAAGTGAAATTAAATCAGTGGGATTTAATATCAATTGGGCATATGTATGAGAGCAATTGAAAAGAAGACATAAAATGTGATATTTATTTTTTATTTTTTGTAGACATGGGGTCTTGCTACATTGCCCAGGCTGATCTTGAACTCCTGGCCTAAGCAATCCTCCTGTCTCAGCCTCCCAAAGCACTGGGATTATAGGCATGAGCCACCATTCCTGGCTTAAAATATAATTCTTAGGTTTCTACCTTGGGTAATTCGATCAAATTTAATGTCTTTAAAACAAGGATTACCCCCAAAAAACTAGGTTTAGAAGGAGGAGCCTGGGTTTATTTCTTGGCACATCATTTTTGCCATATAAGTACACATCTCTAGTTTTCAGTTAAGATCTGAGATTCGGAAATTGATTTTGGAATCATCAGAGTATGGATGGTATTTGCATTCATGTCTTTGGATGAAATCTATTCAGTGAAGAGAGAGTGGAGTAAGAAAAGGGTCAAAGGGAATACCCCAAGTAGCCACCCAAACATTAAGAGTGTGTTATCACAGAAATCAAGGGAGGAGGATGTTTCAGAAGGAGGTATGATAAGCACTATCAGCAACTTCCAATTTCCATTAAAAGGAGTGGACTCTTCCCAGAGGGGCCATAGGGAGGTTGTAGGGGACTCAGGAGAGGAACGATGGAACATTGGATGGTAAACATAAAGACACAGTGGACACTCAGTGGCAACACAGGTTTGGGTGAGGCTTTTTGACAAAGCAAGGTCTTGTTGAAAACTGTGATATCTGAAATCTTGGCAACAGGTGGGGAAAAAATGAGGGAAGATAAAGGGATATTTTCAGAGAAAAGTTGAAGGAGTTCACCCTTAAGGATCTCAATTTTCCCAGCAACACAGACCACTTATTCATCAGCTGAGAGAATGAGGGCAGGGGCCTGGTGGGGAGCCTGAAGACAAAGACAAGGCTGAGAGCCATCACTGCAGGGAAGAGGAAAGAGAGACAACTTGAGCAGGATAAAGGGTTTGCAGTGAGACTGAAAGCTCCACAAAGGTTGAATTCAAACACATGTAGCAGATTTTGTCCAATGGCCTCCATGTTCCCTGGGCCGCAAAGGGAAAAACAGGTGATTGTATTAATCCAGACCTGTACATCATGAGAACCTGTGCAGAAAAAGATTAAGGGATCAGGGGAATTGAGGGAGTTAGTAAACACGTAGTTGAAATGATTGATAACAGCCGCCAGGTTGATAGGAAAGAAGTGAAGCTGGTCTGGGTTTGATGGGCTGGAAAGACAGAGCAGGACTGGAAGGCTGGAGTTCTCCGTGAGCTCACATCAGGGCAGTTTTATTGGGACAGGTGAAGGGACACACTTTAGTCAGACATTGAAAGGTTAAACAGAGACTGTAGAAAAGAAACGTATTGTGCAACTGATATAAACACATACCTTGATGTTAGACACATCTGTGTATAAGTCTTGTTTCTTAGTTATTAGCTGTGTGAACTTGGAACTCAATTGCCTAATCTATAAAGTGGAGATAATAATAGTTCCTATGTCAAAAGCTTGTAGTGAGAATTCAATGTAGTAGTGCACATAAAGCACTTAGCACAGTATAGAACATGGTAAGCTCTCTAGGAGTAGGTGGATATTTATACTTTTATGATACATATGACCTCAGAATGTGGCTGTGACTGTGAGTGGCTGAAAATGTGCAGATGTGCAGGGTTTTCGAGTAGAGAAGATTTTGCAACTAAGACCAGGGATTGGGAAGGGCCATTCACATGGCTGTTTTGGTGGACAACAATATTCTTGCTCTCTATCACTTCTCAGTCTTTTGGCTAAGATCAAGTGTAATATCCTTGCTCTGCCTCCATTGCTGTTGTGTGTGCCAGGCTGCAGGCTGGAGATGGTGCTGTTGGCTTCCCTCTCCACAAAAGACACATAGCAAAGGCAGTCCAGGGCTCTACCCAGTTGGGAACTTCTTTTGACTGGAAGCACATGTGCATCCAAGTTCAGCTTTGTTTGTTCATAGTAAATCCTTGTATATCATAGCACTTCATTTGCATAAAAGGATGTCCAGGTTTTAGTAATGAGACCTTTTTGTTTGACTTCTACACATAAATTGGTTTTGAGTCAGCCAAATATGCTCGTAATTAGGAGATAAATAGCAGAGGCCAGTAAGTAGCATTTTGTTTCACTTATTTAAATAGTAGGCTTACTTGGAGTGAAGCCATATTGATCCTGAGGAAGCTTTATTCAATTAGTACCCATGTTTGCATTCAGCACTATGTAGTCAGTGAGGACTCGGGTGGACTTGGGAGTGACTCTGGGTTCTTCCCAGGGGTGTCTGGTCACCACGTATCTTGCACAAGAAATTGAGACACTCTGGCTTCTACAAGATGGCATTCATGCTGGCCCTACAGGCACCAACTGCATCCGTACCAGGAGGGCCCATCCAATCCTGCTGGAAATCCAGTAAAACCCACTTCTGTGTGCCCATCACAGCCTGCAAGTTCTGGGGAAGAAAAGTCATGGTTCTCAGCTTAACAGAAAAAAGGAAGTTAGGTGTTAGTAAGCACCTGTTGTATCGCAGGTACTATTCTAAGTTGTTCCTGAGAGCAAATCATTTAATCATTACTCCCTCTTATAGCAAGGAGAACTAGACTCGAAGTAAATGCCTTGTCTAAAATCACACAAAGTGACAGGAACCCAGCTGATACGAAATATAAGACCCACATGCTCCATGTACCGCTAGTAGGTTTTTCTTCTTTCTTTCTCTTTCTTTCTCTCTTTCTCTTTCTTTCTTTCTTTCTTTCTTTTTCTTTCTTTCTTTCTTTCTTTCTTTCTTTCTTTCTTTCTTTCTTTCTTTCTTTCTTTCTTTTCTTTCTTTCTTTCTTTCTTTTCTTTCTTTTTCTCTCACTCTTTCTTTCTTTCTTTTTCTTTCTCCTTTCTTTTGTGTGTGTGTGTGTGTGTGTGTGTGTGTGTGTGTGTGCTGTGTGTTCTTCCAGTGTTGGGTTTTTTTGTTGTTGTTGTTCAGGGTTTATTAGTAAATCTGAGCAAATGACATATAGCCTGACAGTCCACCGATGTGTGGAATGTCCCAGACCAAAGTGAGATTCTGGAACGTCAGAGCAGAGCACTGAGTATTCAGGGGCCCAAAGCCTATCAGGATAGTAATGATGCATATTGCTAGGGTGCGTGATCCCCTGGGTTTGAAACCTCTCATGAAGAGGAATCATACAGAGCATAATTTCAGATTGCATATGTAAGTGAGCCATGTGGTATTGATCTTTCTGTGCCTAGCTTACTTCACTTAGCATAGCTTCCAGGTTCATCCATGTTTTTGCGAATGACAAGATTTCCTTCCTTTTTAAGGCTGAATAGTATACCATTGTACACATATGTCGTATTTTCCTTATGCATTTATCTGCCAATTATACCTTAACAAAGCTGGGGAAAACAAGTTTCAAGAAGATCAAAGAGCAAGGTCAATCAGTCTTGAATCTAACAGGAGATTGCTACGTGTCAGGAAAAATATCCATCTTCCTCTTTGGCTTAAACAACCCAAAATTAAATGAGACCATGGCTGAGGACCAGGAGGACACAAAGATGGTATCAGGATGGAGTGTATGAAGGTAGCAGGGATTATCTCTGGGGAGAATAAGGACTTAATTGAGATAAACCAGTAGAGTAAATGTGATGCCCTCTCAGCAAGAAAAAAATAAACAAAAAAAGGAATAATAGTTTCGTCCAGGAGGGGGAATTTAGGGTGAAAAGCCATCTTAGTTTGCCCTAGACTGCCCTGGTTTTAGCACTGGTGGTCCTACTTCTGGAAAATACCTCAGTAGGTAGTAAGTTGGGAATGAGTTAACAGTGCAGAGTCCATCAGAGGCTCATGACAAGGGTCAGGAGAGAGGGCAAGGTGACTTAGTGCCTGTCACTGTAGGCAATTAGCTCTCTCAGCCATGGTATCCTTAAATATGAAGTAGGAATAGGGATTTCTCTTTTGTATGGTTACTGTGAGTGAAATGTATAATGAGGTTTGGAGGAAAAGGGACAAGGAACTAAGATCATAGAGCATTCTCTCTGAAATTGTTTGTACTGTAACGTCTTGTTTAATAGTCACCTGCAATATTCTTTTTATTTATCTTGTTTTAAAAATAAGAAAAAAAGAGAAATTATTGAGCAATCAGGTCAGTTGTCTCAAGTTATATGGCTGGAAGGCAGTGGCATTACATTTGAAAACCAGGTGGTAGGGGTAAGGAGTTAGA
Organism: Homo sapiens; assembly: GCF_000001405.40. NCBI lineage: Eukaryota > Metazoa > Chordata > Mammalia > Primates > Hominidae > Homo > Homo sapiens. The sequence continues at coordinate 85,572,336 of NC_000010.11, read as the reverse complement.
CAGAGCTGAAAGAATGTCTTTGTCAGTGGGGCTGTGAAAAATCTAGGGTTGGAAGTCCCACTGCCCCTTATCTCTGCTAACTGATTTTCAAATGTAACTCCACTGCCTTCCAGCCATATAACTTGGGACGAGTGACCTGGTCTGTCAACAATTTCTCTCTTTTTTTTAATTTTTAAAGCAAGACAAATAATAAGAATATTGCAAATGACTATTAAAGGAGATGCTTCAGTGCAAACAAGTTCAGAGAAAATGCTTTATAATTTTAGCTCCTTGTCCCTTTTCCTCCAAGCCTCATTACACACCTCGCTCACAGTAACAGGTGAGTCCCTTCTGCCTGGAAAAATGGCTGAGGATGACATTCCCCCAGTTTAAGCTGTCTGAGCTTCAGGGTGCTGAGTAATTTTCAGAAGAGCTGACCTTTTTACCTGATATTTTGTTTTTTGTTTTGGTTTTAAGAAGGAAGGTATTGATTCCTCTCAATTTCTGTTAAGGAGGGAATTGACCACTCCAAGCAAATAAGGCAAAGATAAAATGGAACAGGATGTGCTGCAGCTATGCTCATGAGTGCTTGTCAGGGATTATTTCTCCTTGGCTTGAAAGAGGATAATCAGCCCCGAAAAGACAAGGTGCCCTTGGGTATGAAATCTGCTTTTACAGAAGCTGGTTGGCAAGCATTTAGTCAGTTGGGGATACATACCCCTTAGTCTCCACTGCAACCAGAAGCCCACATGTCCCCACTGGGAAATTGGCCATTTTTAACCAAATTAACAAGGAAAGGCCCTCTCCAGAACCAGCTCCATGGGAAGTGCAGAGACCATGGGAGAGACCCGGGCAATGGCTCTTGGAGCTTCAGAGGCCTGGAGCTACCAGCTCACCTTTGAGGAAGGAAACTCCAGCCAGACTGGCCTGACCTTGACACTGCTGGGACTCAGGAAACAAACTCCCAAAATGAAGGCCTTAGAAGCAGCCTCAGAAGCACAGGTCTCTCCCTGACCTCTGGCCCCTCATTCTCCCCCGAGGCTAGCCATGGAAGCCAGAATCCTTCCTCCCCGAGGTGGGACATAGAAATCAGAACCTCTTTTCCTCAAAGCCAGCTGTGAAACCTAGAAATATTACTCTAATTTTCCCTCCGCCTTTCTGTGTAAAAACTGCCTATGAAGAAATTATGTGATCTACCATGTTTCACTGTAAGTCATAAGACCCCATTCCAGAGAAGGTCCTGCCCCATGCCTTGAAGGAAGAAATGCTGTGCAGAGAGGCCCAGAAGAATCTAGACAGACAGGCCTTGCCTCCCCATTCAGGCTCTTAGCATTAGATCATACCCTTTTAGTCCAGTTATATTTCTACACAGCTGTCCACATTTTGTGAAACCTAACCACAAAAATGGACAATTTCCCTGTATCTTTGGCCCTTTTTTCTGAAGGCTCCTGTGTCATAGAAAACTATGATCAGACAAATGTGTTTGCAAGTTGATTTTTCAGCAAACTTTAGGAGGGCTAAGTGGAACTTTCCCCTTGGCCTCATAACACCCAACCTTACAATTTTATATATGATACCTCCAAAAGGGACAAATGACCTGTAAATGCTGATTTTTAAAATGACATTTTTCTAATTCTTATTCAATAGCTTTCAATTTCTCTAAGTATAGAAATTATGGGGAATTTTAAAAAGTATTTACAAAAATGATAGCTAATCAATGTATAATTTAAAAATCATGAATTTGCAATTCCTAATATAAAAACTTACTCGAGAAAATACTAGCAATGGGTACAAAAACCCGTGGGTGAAATGTTTTTGGAAAAAAAATTCACAGTGACACATATTATTGCTCAGTTACTTACTGATTATAAAGGGAAAAATATTATCTTAAAATGGAGAGATGGTGTTAACTACATTAAGCAAATGATCCAAACTAGCATCCTTTATGGTGAAACATCCTGGCATTTTTGACTTCTGATAAGATGTTATTTGAAGTTATGATATCACCTATGATGTATTCTTGACAAAAATATCTAATCTTAATCTAAATAAATCATTAGCCCTAAGGTTAAATTTAATTGAAATTCAGAAATAGAGGAATGCTTTGAGCAATAGCATCAGTAAACAATCAGAAAAGTCCAAATTGTGGAAAATTCAATTAGAAGACTGTAACCTGACTCTTTAAAAGGAAACAAATAAACAAACAATAAACAATAAACTATTCTAGTTTAAAAGAGATCATAGAAAAATAAGAACAAATGCATTGTAATGCGTGAGCCTTGATTGGGCCTTGGATCCGGAATAAATAATTAAATCAGTAAAACAAGGCCTTTCTGTAATTCCCAAACAATTAAATCAGTTACAGGGACAATTTGAAGGCAAATGGGTAAATCTGAATATAGAATGCATATTATATGTTACTATGGGATTATTATTAATTTTAACTATAATAAAGGTATTACAGTTATGTTGGAAAAGGTCCTTATTCAGAGGAAATATATAAGCATTTACGAGTGAATTATTATTATGCCTGCAACTTATTTTAAAATGTCATTGTAAAAAATTGTACACGAAAAGAATTTTTTAGAAGTAGAAAAGTGCTAACAATTATTAATATTCTTTCACAATTTCTGAATGTTTAAAAACTTGAAAAACAAAAATTTGTAAAGTTCTCCTTCTGCTATAACAGAGCAATTGGTACCAGATAATCCCTCTTGCTGTAAATAAATATTAAAAATTGGAAAGAAGTATATTAGGCAAAGCTTCTAGATTATGGAATCACATTGCAACACAGCAATATGCTTCCTGAGATAGACGGAAACACATGAGGTGAGCCCTGTGATTGCCCTGGCATTTTGCAGAGGGGCACTCTGCACTGCTTTGCAGGGATGTAGCGATCTAGGAAAGTTTAGGGGCTTAGAGGAACTGAGATTACAGAAATCAGAGGATCTGAAAGTTCGAGGCAGCTAGAGACAGCAAAGCAGGGTACTGGAGAAAAGGTAGCTGTGTAGAGAAGGAACTTCAAAAATCAGCAGCAGGTCTCAAGGTTTTGGCCAAATACTACATTGCTGATATGCAGAAACACAGTCAGGTAGACAAAAGTTGCTGGGCAACTGTGGGTTGAATAGAGATTTCTTTGGCTATGTAATGGCCAGAGTCAAAGGGAGTGGTTCAAACAGCTAGAGTGAAAGGATCCTGTTGAAAATCCTGAGCTTTTAGTTAATCAGTTGACTCCTCAGAATGACAAGTACTAAGGAGCAGGATAAATATACCACATCTATTCAGATCATAGTCCAGCTGCAAAAAAGAGAGAGATTGGGTAGGGAGAGAAAGAGAGAGAGAGGGAGAGAGAGAGGAAGAAGGAGAGAGGGAGAGAGAGAGAGGGAGAAAGACAGAAAGAGAGAAAGAGAGAAAGAGAGAGATTGAATATCCTGTAAAGCAGCCAGAAAAAAATGTACATTACATGCAAGGAAACAATTTCAATGACAGCTGACTTGTGAGAAGAAACAATGGAGGCCAGAAGATAGAAAAAGACCACCTTTAAAGTGCTAGGAAATGTACATGGGTGTATAAGTGCACACACACAAACACACACACACACAAGTTATACAACTAGAAAAACTATTCTTCAGTATCAGAACAGCATAAAAATATTTCCAGGGAAAGAAATTGCGAGAATTTGTCTTTACATGTCTTCACACAAAAAGCTACAGAAATTGCTTCAGACTGCAAAGAATTGATACCATATGGAAATTCAGATTAACAGAAAGAGATAAAGAGCCCAGGAAATAAAAAAACATATGGAGAAATATGACAGCCCATATAATTTTTTTCTCTTAATTTCTTTAGAAGACATAACTTCTAAAGCAATAATTATATACCTGTGTGTATGTATGTGTGTATGTGTGTGTGTATGCATATATATATATATATATATATATATATATATATATATATAGGCAATAACAGTGCAAAGGACAAGGATAAATATCAAACTATATCAAAATAAGGCTCTCATATTGATGGCAAAGTGATATAATATTAACTTTTAAGTTATATTTTATAGTCAACATTTTATAGTCTTCAATTTATGAGACTTGAATATTACTTATTTTTTCCTATTTTACATAATACAGTTATATTATTGATAACTTTTTGCCAATTATTTGTTAGTATTAAAAATATAATTGGTTTTTGTATATTGACATTGCCTCTTGTAAAATTGCTAAATGTAATTTTAACTTCTAGTAGATTTTTAGTAGATTTCATTGAGTATTTTACATACACAGTCATTATTACAAGTAATAACAGTCAACGTTTTATTTCTTTTTTTCCCAACCAATCTTTATTTCCTTTTCCCTTCTTTCCTTCCTTCTTTATTTTTTCAATAGTTTGGACTTCCAGTACAACACTGAATGCAAACTAAGGAGTAGATATGTTCTTTTTTCTGATTTTAGTGGAAAATCATTCAATATTCTACCATTAAGAATGATGTTAGCTAGATGTTTTTTTGTTTTGTTTTGTTTTGTAAATGTCCTTTATTCAGAATGAGGAATTTCTTTTATGTTCCTGGTTTCCTGAAAGCTATTATGAAGGGGCTGTAAATTTAATCAAATGATTTTTTGCATTTACTGAAGTGATCATTTTTTTCTCTTCATTCTGGTGATGTGGTGAATTACATTGCCTGATTCACAGATGTTAAAACAACCTTGCATTCCTGAGAGAAATTCTATTTGGTCATGACTTATTATTCTTTTTATGTATTGCTGGGAAAGGTTTACTAACATTTTATGAAGGATTTTATGTCCATGTTCATGAGAGATATTGATCTGTAACTTTTTCTTCCAATGTCTTTGTCAGGTACTAATATCAGTATTTTATGAGTTTCACAAAATATGTTAGAATAACCATTTACTCCTTTTTAGTACTACAAAAAATTGTGCAGAATTTTTGATTTATTCTGAAAACATTTGTTTAGAATTCACATTATCTCTCTCAAAATTTCATGGAATTGTTAAAAAAATCATCTGGGCCTAGGATATTCTTTGTGGAAATATTTTTTAGTATGAGTTGAATTTTTTAGTAAATATTGGGATTTTTTTATTTTATATTTCTTCTTGTATCAACTGTGGTAAGTTTTACTCTTCAAGGCTTTGTTCACTTAATTTATGTCAAAGAATTTATTATCATTAAATTCTTCATGCTATTCCCTTATTATCTTTTCAATGTTGGTAAATTTATAATTATGTTTCTTATTTTATTTCTGTTGTTAGATATTTGCATTTTCTCACTGTATCTTAACTAATATTGCTGGATTTTGACTAATTTTTTTATTATTTTCAAAGTTTTGAGTTATCAATTTTTTATGTCATTTTTCTATTGATTCCAACATTTATTAATTTTTTCTACTTATTTTTGATTTAATTTGCTTTACTTCTAGTTTCTCAAGTTGGAAACTAAGGTAATTTGGTTGAGACCTTTATTATTTTCTAATACAATCATTTAAAGCCATTTAATTTCCTCTAAGCACTTCTTTAGCTATGAGCCGCACAATTAGATATGTCGTGTTTTAGTTATAACTTAGGCTGAAATACTTTTTAATTTTTTTAATTCCCTGTTTGATGTGTTATTTAAAGTGGTATTACTAAATTGTCAAATATTTGGGAATTTTCTGGATACCTTAATGCCACTGATTTCTTATTTAAAATCCTTATTGTCTACAAAAGAGTCAAACTCTGTAAAATATTTGAAGAGATTTATTCTGAGCCAAGTATGAGTGACCAATGACCTGTGACACAACTCTCAGGAGATCCTGAGAACATGTGCCCAAGGTGGTTGTGGCACAGCCTAGTTTTATACATTTTAGGGAGAAATTAGACATCAATCAAATACATGTAAGATTTATATTGGCTCAATCTAGAAAGGTGGGACAACTTCTAGATCTAACCAATCTGGTGGGGTGTGGGGATTTGTGGGAGCTTCCAGATCATAGGTGGATTCAAAAATTTTCTGATTGGCAGTTGGTTGAAAGAGTTATTATCAATAGAAAGGAATATCTTGGTTATGACAAGGGGTTGTGGAGAACAAGTTTTTATCATGCAGATGAAGCCTCCAAGTAGCAGGCTTCAAAGAGAATAGATTGTCTGATCAGATTTAAGATATGTGTTGATGTTAATGCTGGCTGGCTTTTCCTGAATTGCAAAACTGGGGAGGGTATAATGAAGCATGTCCAACTGCCCCTTCTATCATGGCCTGAACAAATTTTTTAGGTTAAATTTGGAATGTCTTTGGCCTAGAGGAGGCATCCATTCATATGGCTGGGGTAGGGGGCTTAGCATTTTATTTTTGGTTTGCAATGAGGTGGGAGAATATATATATTCTACATGATTCCATTCTTTTATATTGATTAAAACTTGCTTTGTGACCCAGAATATTGGTCTATCTTGGTGACTGCTCTATATGCAATTGAAAATAATGGGTATTCTGCAGTTTTGAGGTGAAGTGTTCTGTAAATACCACTTAGGTCAAATTCCATGACAATGTTTTTCAAATTCTGTATTTTGCTACTTTTTTATACACTTATTCTATCAATTACTCAGAGAGGAGTGTGAAATATCCAACTATAGTTTCTCCCAGCTCTTTCTCTGCTCTCAGCTGTTCAGTTGTTGAAAGCCTGGCTGCCTTGATAAATCCATGTCTCTCAGCTCCCTTCCTGCCTCTCTGCTTATGGAGTATTCTTGCCTTGCCCTTGGGGGAGGGTCCATGCACCTCAATGGCATCTCAGCAACTGCCCTGCATTGCCACTGACACACACTACCCAAGAGCACTCAGTGAAGACACTTGGGAAAGAATTGGTGTGTGGGGCAGACTTGTTCTGCAGCCCAGGTGCCTCAGAATTTCACACCATCATGCAGGCTCACGCTGGGCCCTGGCAAGTTTGTAAAAGTTCTTACAGTTTCTCTTAAAACTCACCAGTGATGAAATTTTCCTCTTCACACTTCCCTGTGAGCCATCGGTCTCTTTTATTCCATAATATGTTTATCTTTTTTTCTGGAATGCAGTGTATTTGCATTCATAAGTTTCTGATAGGCTTTGGTGAAAAAAAAATAAAACCTACAATTTTTTTTGCTTAACCAGTTTGTTTTGGTTGATAGTGTACAAACAATGGTTTTGTTCTATTTTCTAAATACTAACAAAAGAAGAAAGTCTGTTTCAGTTGATTTTTTTATTTTTAAGGCTTACTTTTTCAAGTCTATTTTTAAATATGTGAAATTTTTTTTGGTTCAAAATCAAAAGTGTATAAAAATTATACTGTGAGAATTTTGTTTTAACTCTGTTCTCTTAAAAATAACAATTGTGCATTGCTTCCTGTTTTGTGTGTGTAGATAGATTACATAAATAGGTATTAATTTCTCATCCTTTCTTATACAGAAAGTAGTATTCTAATATCTGTTCTGTGACTTGTTTGATTATAAACTCAAAAAATTAAAAACATATTCTATTATACAGAAAAGTACACAAATGATAAGAATATACCTTGTGAATAATTATAAATGAACAGATTGGCATGATCACTGCATTTTCCGAGAAATGTTACTAGAACCCATGATCCTCCTTCATGTCCCCTCTCAATCATTACACTTTTCTTTTTCCTCAATTATACCACTATCCAGACTTTTACCATCACAAGTTAGTCCTGCCAACTTTTGAAATTTTATAGACAGAATTATACAGACTTTCTTATGTCTGGTTTATTTACTCAACAATGTATTTATAAAAGAATCAACTCTGTTTTTATGTAAAGTCTTAGTTCATTCATTTTGTCTAGTCATGTAATATTCCATTATAGGAATATCATGAAATTTATTTTCCTACTCTATTCTTCATAGATTTTGCAATTAGTCATTATACTTTAAAATTCCATATTATCTACAAATAATTAGTTTTATTTGTCACTTTCTGATTCATATACATTTGTTTTCATTTCCTTTCCTTATTTTATCACACAGAAATGTGGTAAAATCAGTATAAAATTGATTGGACACACGAGAGTTAACATTCTGGTTGCTAAAACACCAGATGATTTTTTTTAAAAGATTAAGAAAAATCTTGTATTCTAGATTTTCAAATTCTTTTTAATTTTTGTCATCAATAGAGGTTGAATTTTATCAAATTATACTTAGGTATTTATTGAGATAATAAACTTTTATCCCTTATTCCATTAACAAGATATATTATGTTGATTAATTTTTGAAAACTGAAGCAAATTGCAATCCAGAAATAAACCTAAATTGGACGTAGTATGTTATAATTTGTATGTATTACTGACTTTTTAACAAATATTATCTTTAAGAGTTTTCATTTTTTTTATACGTGGATTGTCCAGTACATTTCTTTTCTTATAATTCCTTCATCATGTTTAAATACCATGTTAACTCTGGTTTCTTAAAATAAAATAGTCAGTGCTCTGACTTTTTTTACTTCTTTAGAAATATTTTTATAAGCTTGGTGTTATTCTTTTATTAAAGTTTGCCAATCTTGTGCTTTGAAGCCATCTGAAACTGCTCTTTTATTTGTGAAGAGGTTTTTATGTGTTTTTTTAAGAATGCAGTTTTTTAATAGAGAAAGGACAATTTATGTTTTCTTTGATCTTAGGTCAGTTGTAATAATTTTTTAAGACTTTTTGATTTTATTCAAATTTTTACATTTATTTTCCAAAAGTTGACCATAATATCCTTTATTTTTAAATTTGATGTCTTTTTATTTTTTATTTCTGATTTTGGAAATTTGTCCTCTCTTTTTTCTATTCATTAGCATTAACAAATTTTTAAATCAATTTTGAATTCTATTTAAAGTATAAATTTTTGTTGTCAATCCTCTTGATCATATTTTGTTTTTTATTTAATTAATTTGATCTCATATTGATTTTCTTCATATACTTCCTTTGTGCTTCCTTTTTCGATTTAATTTTCAGTTTGTTATGTCTTCTGACTCTCATGGTAGATTATTATCTTATTTTATGTAAGCACATCTTCAGCAGAGGCTATTTTTGTCTATAGAAATATTATATATTCTAATTTTTATAATTGTTAATATGAATAGCTTTGATTTATTTTTATTAGATAGCCTACGAGTTTCAACAGTTTGGAGCTAGATTTAACCTTTTTTTATTTGTGAATTATTTTTTATTCATAGGATTAGACAAACTTTTGATTTCATTTGCATACATGAAGCAGTTTATGAGTTTAATTCCACAGGAGATATAGAAGACATTTTTACCCACCCAAAGCCCTAGGCAGAAGCATGTTTACTTTTCATTTCTCATTGTCCTGGGGAGAGAGTGTAAGTATTCTCTTCTTCCTATCACTTAGGTACAATCCTTCTATGATTCTGATTCTGAGCAGAGCTGCTCAGCTCATCCTCTGGTAAATTCAAGCCAAAAGCTAAGTGTTCTCTTTCTGAGGCAGCACCAAGACCCCCAGCCCTTCCCTCTGAGGTCTGAGTCTTTCATGCTATCACACCAGACTTCTACAGAGACATCTATAGGGCTTATTGTTTCATTAATTTTACTCATGGTTTCTAGATTTCCTTTTCTTTTAGACATTAAAATACTGCATTGGATATTGCAGTATGTTGTGTACTGGATACTGGATGCTGCATTGTGATAGAGATGTATGCTAACTGCTTCCACAATATTGTTGGACTCCTGATTCTAGTCTACCTTTATAAAAGTTAGACTGGAGTCTGATTTGTGTGTTTCAAGTGAGGTAGTGAGGATAACAATATTAGCCTGGATATTATAGTAAGGTAACTATGCATTTGGATGATCAGGAAACAAGACAAAATGGTTAAACTGTGTAACATAAATTTTATTCTGTTTGCAAGATAGCAAGCATATAAAAATACTACTCCTGAGACAGCCTCAATATCAGGCAAGCCTTAGCAAACAATGTGCCTTGGACTTAAGCATCAATAAATCAAAATGCAAAATTTTTTCTTCTTCACAATGCAAATATACGTAAGAGTTGAGGCTGAGCATAAGTCCACACTGGGAAAAAATAACTAAGCCCATCAGCATGCATTGGGTTTTAGTGAATTTGGCTTCATATACCCCTAATTTAGAGTGTCCCAAAGTTTGCAATTAAAAGCTACAACTGAACAGTGGCTGAACACTGACTCATTAGTAGAGACTTACAAAAGCTCAACAAAAACCTCCTAAATTATAGACCATAGCTATTCACAAGGCTTTCTCAGTTTTGGCAAAGCAGTGTTTTTAAAGGGTAAGAGTGTGTTTGGGGATGGAATTGTGTATTTTTTTCATCACTACGTATTTATTTATATCAATATTTTATTGTGTCACAGATACAGAAATGGGCAATAGAACTTCATCATTCAACAATCTAGAGGAAAATTCTTTTAGTTTTTTTTTTTTTTAATTTTCACCTATTTCTAACTCCATCTCTCTCCCATCAGGTTATCCATAGTGTGTAAAATCTACATGTTTTGGAGCATATTTTTATTCTTAAAAAATAGTGCTACAGATTATGGTGGATAATGCAGGTGCCCCACCACATCCCCTAGCTGCCGTGAATGTTGACTGGTAAGACCCCCGATAATCCCCTTTACTGAATTATTGCCCTTAGCTGTATGAGAGATACCCCTACCTTGCTTCTTTAAAACAATAATTTCAACTTTTATTTTATATTCAGGGAGTACATGTGCAGATTTGTTACAGGGGTATATTGTGTGATGCTGAGGTTTGTGGTACCAATGATCCTGTCACCAGTTAGTGAGCAAAGTACACAACAATTGGTTTTTTGCCCCTTGCCCCCACTTCTACCTCCCTCCTCTAGTAGTCCCCAGTGTCTATTGTTCCCAAGTCTATGTCCATGAGTACCCAATATTTAGCTCATACTTATAAGTGAGAACATGCTGTATTTTGGTTTTCTGTCACTGTGTTAATAATTTGCTTAGGATAATGACCTCCAGCTACATCCATGTTGCTGCAAAGGACATGATTTCATTCTTTTTTACAGCTGGATAGTATTCCATCTACCTTGCTTCTTGCTTCTCTCATTCTTCTTTTCTTAAGAGAAGCACTTCAACAAGAATTCTTCTCAGGCTCTGCTTTTGGGGAAAGCAACCTAAGACACAGGTTTGTTATAGAAATTATATTTGTACTCATATATATTAATATTTTAGGTATATGTGTATTTTGATAAGAGCAGCAAGAATGGCAGAATAATTTGAAAAAAAGAGGAATAAGAGGAGAGGAACTTTTTTATTAGATAACATGACCAAATAAACCTTATAGTCATTAAACAGTGTTTTAGACATAGTGATATCAACTCTAAGAAACAGGATGGAAATGCAGAATGAGAATCAGGTGTAATTATTTTGTTACTGATACGTAACTAGTGCTTAGAACACAGTTGAATACATGGTAGACAATGAAAACATATTGATCAGATGGAAAATTGACGTGCAACAGAGCTGGCATTACAAAGCAGTTGGGAAGAAGGGATCATTCCAGTAAAAGGTTCTGACATAGTAGCTTATCCATATGAAAAAAAAATTGAATCCCATCTTTATACTGTAAAAACAGATCAATTCCAGTCGGTTAAAGATGTAATTGTAAAAAGTAAAATTTTAAAATGTTTAGCAGAAAATATAGCAAATATCTTTATGACCTCGATATTGGAGAATGCTTTTTCAAATACATCAAGAACCACGTGAACATAAAGAAAAGATGGATTTCAAACTTTTAATTAAAAATATTCTGCATCAAAAATACAAACAAATGGAAAAGATAACCCACAGATCAGGAAGCATATTTGCTGTGCACAAAACTGACAAAGAATTAGCATTCAGTAGTGTATATAGAATTACTATAAATCAATAAGAAAATAGATGAAAATTGAAAAACAAAAAAAAAGATATGAAGAAGTAAACCCCAAAGAGTAAATAAATACATGTTAAGATTCTCAACCTCAGAAGACTTCTCGTATTCATCAGATAAATAAATTTTATAAGGCAACAACTAACAATATTATCTGAATGTGCCACATGTTAGCAGAGATGTCAGTAAAGAAAAAGGATGTACCGCAGGTACATCCATGCGGTAGCAGTGAGAATATAATTGGAGTCACCACTTTGGAGAATCATTTGACAATATCTAGATAAATGCAAACACTACTGTTATAGGAATTTCAGATTTAGTATTATACCATAGGTGAATTCATACACATGTGAACAAGAAGACATATACAAAAATGCTCATTTCAAAATGACTTGTAATGTCAAAAAATTGAAATGATCTGCCCATGATGACAAGGAAAGTACTAGGTAGTATATTCACACAATGAAATACTGTACAGTCAAATAAACATACTGGATGTACAAACAACAACAGAGAGAAAACTCAAAAACACAAAGTTAAATAAATCAAGCTGGTTGCAAAAGGATTCATGCAGTATGATATCTTTTTTAGAAAGCTTTAAACATATAAAATAATACTGTATATTGTTTCTGCACAAATACATATGTAGGAGGAGCATAAAAGTATAAGCAAGGGCAGACTAATTTTAAACTCTTGCCAGAGATAAGAGAATATGTTCTTGGAGGTTTAATGTTCAATTACTTATGGGGTTGAATTTTATTTGAAATGTTTTATTTTTTAAACCAAGGGAAACATTTATAAGTTTTTGGTTAAATGATGTATATTTTTCTATGCCTGAACATTTTATTGACAAAAAGGAAAAATAATCTTATGCTATTTTGTATGTTTTTAAGTGTACATTATATGCAGATATATATGTGGATATGTATACATACACACATATATCTGTTTACACAAAATATACAGCTTAGTTTTATACTTAATTCCCTCAGTGATTTGCTTGCTTGTTTTCTATTTATTTATGTTGTACTATGCAGATCATCAATGTTCTGATAAATTCTCAGTGATCCATTTTATTACAGTATTCATCCTTCCCATTTGACTTTTATTCTTCTAGCAATGGACAGTTGAATGCCTTCTGTTCTTCTACTCAACCTCTTGTAGACCTATGCAGAAATTTTCTTTGTGATATGGATGAATCATAGAGTGTGCACATATGTAACTTCCATGCACACTCCCAGATATTTCTAAATCAGATAGCCCCAAATGGCATCTCATTTTGCACTTCTACCAGAAATGAATAAGGGATTATATCTTTCCACAATCACCTCCCAGTCTGTCATTGGTTAATAAAATCGACAGCATTCTTTACTAAACAGAAATTTTAAAATACAATATAACAAAATTAATTAATTCATTTTTACCTCATACTATTTTATTTTATTTTTTCATATCTGGTTAAGCAAGTTTGCTCTTAGTCCAAGGTCACAAGAACCCTCTTGGCTGAGGACTAAGTGTTCTAAATGTTCTAGCAGGGAATTTCAGCTCCTTGAATGCTCTTCGTCAAAGAACTATTCTCCTCTCTCTGAGAAGGTGATCCTCCTCAACCACAGAGGCAGTTTCAGGAAGAGTGCCCATGGAGGCTTGAAAAGGAGTGTCACGTCTAGGCAGCCAGAGCACACATGTTGCTATCTGGACAATCAATGAACTGTGAGTTGTCCCAGACAAGGCATCCTGACATGTGGTTGGGAAAGTTGAAAGCAGAGCGTGACTTAGCAACACATGACTCAGCTTTCCCTTTCTGCACCTCCGAGTTCCCACGTGTAATATGGAGGGATGGACAATATTGTATCTAGTATTCCCTTACATTCAAACTGTTCGTGATAGAATTATTTTTACTAACTGATAAATTTTATCCTTCCATAGCTGTAGGAATCAGCTTTGGTGATATCAGCTTCCCATGTGCTCTACAACAAGCCAATTATAAATCAAGGTCATCTCAGTATCTAGGTGGTTCCATGTTAAACTGTTCACCAAGTATAGTACTTTAGCTTAACTGCCATATAGATAAATTCTCAAACTTCAATAATTTCACCCCATAGAAACTCAATCTCACCCAAATAAAGCCCAATCGAGTGTTTCTGGTAGGGAGACTTTTCAAGCAATCACTCAAGGACTTGGACTTTTTTAAATTGTATTTCTCCCCTCCTTTAGGTTCATGATGCTCTCTCTGGCCACCTTCCAGACAGGAAGAAAGAGCAGAGGATCACTGTGAGAGGAATTTGAGGATCAAATCCTGAAGTGGTACATGTCACTACTGTTCATAGTCTCTTTGCTGGAACTTGGTCCTATGGCCCTACTGGCAGAGAGGAAGGCTATGAAACCCAGTCTAGGCCTGCGCCTAGAAGAAGAAGAAGAAGAAACACCTTTTGAAGAACAGAGAGCAGTCTCTGTCATACCAGGAGTACCTGTCACATACTTGTAGAACAAAAATCAGTAACATTTTAATTATTGAAACAATGTAACAACTTTAAACACAGTTTCATAACTAGGAGTGAATCACCCATAATCTCATACCCGGAACAAAATATCTGTTAGTATGATGCACCTTTACATAGCTGTAATCTTAAAGGGCATGTACTTCCTTCTTTGCTTTCCTTTTTTTTTTTCTTCATCCTTTCCCTCTCTCCCTCTCTCCCTCTCTCCCTTTCTCCCTTCCTTCTTTCTTTTCTTCCTTTCTTTCTGATTTTCTAACTTCCTTCTTTAAACATTCCTTGATCGTCTGTGGGTCTGGACAGCAACATGGAGATCAATTAGGCGCAGCATTTTAAATTTGCCCTCAAGAAGTTCCACTAGTGTAAGAGTAGGCAAGTAACCAATTATTACAATAGTGGGACAAGCGCTGTGATAGAAATAAATACAGAGTACTGTGGCAGTCCTTACCCAGAAAAAGATATCTAGGGTAGATGGTATCTGAACTGAGAATTAAAGAATAAATAGAAGATAGCATGGCAAAAAAAGTTCAAGAGTGTTCCATTCTTTGAGAATAGGGCATTGAGATAGAACCTGTAGACATGAGATAGAACTGTGTGCATCCTGGAAATTGCACATGGTTCAGATTGATTGGGAAATAGAGTGTGGATGGGAAGTGATGAAAGCTGAGTCAGTAGAGTTCGATGGGGGTCAAATTGTGAAAGAGTGTGAGCTCTGCTAAGGAGATGATATTTTAGCTTAAATACCAGAAGAGCCATTGAATTATTTTAAGCATAGGAGTGATCTAATCGGAACTCTGCTTGAGAAAGATAACCCTGGTTGCTGTGTGAAAAAATATACCAGAGGCAAACAAAGTTGAAGCCAGGAGACCAGTTAAAAGACAAAATTCATAATTTATATGAGATATGATGATAGTTTGACTTAGGCTGTGATTGACATTGCAGAGTAACATATCGCATTCAAGAGATGTTTGGATGATGAAACCAAGAGGGCTTGGAAATTGATTGGATATGAGGCATTAGAGGAATATGTTAGGGCTAGATCCCAGGATTCTGGTTTAGATAATTGGATAGACAATTAAAGCAGAAACTATTGAAGAAGGGGAGAAGATAAAGAGTTTTGATTTTCATTTCAATTCTAAGGTATTCTTGGAAATATAAGTAGAGGATGCTGATGGGGGTTGGTTATAAAGCAAATTCAAGAGTGAGACTTCTGGAGTTAAGATACATAATCGGATCTGTAAGAATGAAAGAAAGAAGTTGTTCAGGGACTATGTGTACAGTATGAAGACCAACATATAAATGAAATATAAAAGAACAAAAGCTGACAATGGAGTCTGTGAAAGAGCAAACAAAAAAATGAGGAAGAGAACAGAGCATGAAGTCACAGAAACCAAGGGAAGAAAATTTTAGATGCCGATCAAAGATCAAGGAAAATAAAGATAAAAATGTGTCAATTAGATTTGGTATTAAAGAAAGCATTAGTATCTTTTTGAATACAATTTTATGGCTGCATGGCAAAGAATCAGATGACTGGAATCAGGAAGTGAATAGAAAGTGAGAAATGAAAAGGGCTCTCGATAAGGTTTCCCTTATTGAGATAGGAGGTAAGCTCTAATGTTTATTTGAAGTTTTTTTTTTTCTTCCAAAGCTGGGAAAGATTTAATAAAGTATGAATGCTTTTAAGGAAAAGTTTGTAGACAGAGATTTTTTGACAATAGTAGAGCAAATCATGGCGAAATAATTGATAGGATGAGGTCCCAAGAAAGCAAGAACACTCCTTGAGGAAGAAGCTTTCCATTTTAACAGGCAGTAACAAAGAGCAATGAATCAGGATGAGTCTACGTTTGTCAGTTTAGAGTGGAAATTGTTGGTAGAGCTCATGGGACAACTCCTATTTTACTTGTGACAAAAGCTTAACTGCTGAGAGCAAACAGGGTGGTGGGATCAGCTATTATTTTTAAATGGAGAAATTTAAAAATCACAATTGCGAAGTAAAATCTTTCAAGAAAGATAGAAGAGGAATACTGCTTAGTGCTGTGCGCCTCTTTGAAGTCAGAGTTGATGCAGTGACCACCATGCCAAGGGCTGCTTCGGGGCTTTCTCCCACAGCGCTCATTGAGCTATGTGAGAAGGCGAAGATGGAAAATAGGTGAATGACAGCACACATATCACACGAGTTTGGCAAGAGGATAAGTGAGGCAAGGGTAGCAGCAAGAGAGTGAAGAAAATGCTCAGCCAGAAAACCTAAGCTGACTATGAAAGAAGGAAAACAGTTCCACAGACTGGAGAGTTGCAAGAGATACAGATTAAGCAACAGTAATTAACTGAAGAAGAATTAATTAACTGAAAGAAGTAATTAACTTCTTTCTTAGAAGAAGAAGAAAAAACGGTAATATCCTGAGCATGTATGTTTTACTTTACTATGACATAAAGAGTCCACGGAGATCTAAATAAATATTTGTTGAATGATGAACGAGTGGATTTTTCTGTGTGCACATATAAACTTTCACCTGTTATTATACACCTAGGTTGCTTTTATTTTCAGTTTGTTTTTGAAATTATCAGTAGAGTTTTTCTTTCAGAGTGTACAGTTCTATGCTTTTAAAATTAATATACATTATTTTTAAAGCAGCTTTACATTTACAGAAAAATTGAGCAGAAAGTTGAGTTTCCATATACTACTCCTCTCCCCCATACCCTGCACACAGTTAACATCTTGCATTCATGTGGTACACTTGTTATCGTTAATGAACCAATATTGGTATATTATTATTAATTAAATTCCATATTTTACATTAGGGTTTACACTTTGTGTTACACAGTACTATGGGTGTTGACAAATATAAATGTTATGTATCTACCATTACGATATCATACAGAATAGTTTCACTGCCTTAAAAGTCCCCCGGGCTCCACCTACTCATGCCTACCTTCTTCTCATCCACCCTTTTCCTAGCAACCCTTCATCTCTTTATTGCCTCTATAGTTTTTTCTAATTTGAAGTCATATAGTTAAAATTGTACAGAATATGGCCTTTGCAGACTGACTTCATTAACTTAGTACTATGCATTTAAGATTATTCTATGTCTTTTTTGTGGCTTGATGGCTCATATAAAAAAATCTGAATAATATTCCATTGTATGGATGTATCATAGTGTATCCATTCACTTATTGAAGAATGCCTTGGCTGCTTCTAAGATTTGACAGTTCTAAATACAGCTGCTATAAATGTCTGTATGCAGGTTTTTGTGGGACATCAGTTTTCAAATAATTTGGGTAAATTTACTTGGTGATTGCTGGATTGTATGGTAAAATGATGTTTAGCTTTGTCAGAAATCACCAGACTGTCTTCCAAAATGCTGAATCATTTTGCAAATCCCACTATCAAGGAATGAATGTTTCTGTTGCTCCATGTCCATGTGAGCATTGGATGTTGTCAGAGTTTAAAATTTTAGCTGTTCTGATAGGTGAGCAATGGTTTATCATTGTTATTTTAATTTGTAATTAACTAATGACGTGTTGTTGAGTATCTTTTTGTATGCTATCTGTAAATCTTTGGTGAATTACTTGTTCAGATCTTTTGCCCATTTTAGTTGAGTTGTTTGCTTTCTTATTTTTGAAGTTTAAGAGTTCTTTGCATATTTTGTATACTAGCCATTGGATAGCTGATAGGCAATTGTTTTTTTCTCAGTCATTCTCCTAACAGTGTCTTTGACAGAGCAGAAGTTCTTAATTTTAATGAAGTTCAGCTTATCCAGTTTCTCTTCATGGATTGTGCTTTTGTGTTATATCTAAAAACTCACCAAACCCAAGGTCACCTAGATTTTTTCATATGTTATTCTCTAGAAGTTTTATAGTTTTGCATTTAGGTCTTCGATTCATTTTGAGTTAATGTTTGTGCAAGGTATAAGGCCTGTGTCTAGATTCATTTTTTTTGGTATGTGGCTGTCCAGTTGTTTCACCACCATTTGTTGAAAAGACTGTCCTTTCTCCATTGAATTGTCTTTGCTCTTTTGTCAAAGATCAGTAGGCTATGTTTATGTGAATTATTTCTGGGTTCTCTATTCTGCTCCATTGATCGGTCTTTTTTTTTTTTTTTTTTTTTTTTTTTTTTTGTCCGTACCACACTGTCTTTACTACTGTCATTTCTATGAATTTGAATACATGTGTAGATCTATGTAACCACCACCATAATTAACATACACAACCATTCTATTATTCTAAAACAATTCCCTCATGCAAACTCTTTATATGCCACCTCTCACTCACACACAGCCTCTGACAACCACTGATCTGTTTTCATCATGATAGTTTTTTTTTTTTTTTTCTGGGGACTACTGTATGAATGAAATCATATAATACATGACTTTTTGAGACTGGCTTGCATCACTCAGCATGATGCTTTTGAGATTTATCCATGTTCTTGCGTGTATCAGTGATTGTTTCTTGTTATGGCTGAGGGATACCCACGCTGTATGAATGTGTCACTATTTGTTTATTTGTTTTCTAATTGAGAAACATTTGGGTTATTTCTAGTTTTGATCAATTAGTAATAAAGACATATAAGTATCCCTGTATAGATTTTTGTGTGTTAACATAAGTTTTCATTTCTGTAGAGTCAATACCCAGGAGTGAGCTGCTAAGCCATATGATAAGCATATGATTACTTTAGAAGAGGCTACTAAAGAAGCCATTTTTCACAGCAGCTGCAGCATCTTACATTCTTATTAGCAATGTGCAAGAGTTCCAGAAGCTCCACATCATTGACAGGAGTTGATATTGACAGTAGTGTATAGTCTGGACATTCAGTATGTGGCAGTGATATTTCATCACGATCCTAATTTTTCATTTAGTCACTGATGATGTTGAACATATTTGCCTGTGATTATTTGACATCCATGTTTTTTCTTTGGTGAAGTGTCTGTCAACATCTTGTGCCCATTGGGAAAAAATGTGTTGTTTGTTTTTTCACTGTCAAGTTTTCAGAGTTCTTTATTTACTACCGGTACATGTCTTTTGTCAGATATGTAAATTGTAAATATATTCTCTCAGTCTGCAGCTTGTCTTTTCATCCTTCTGATAATGTCTTGTGCAGAGCAAAGTTTGTTAAGTTTGACGAAACCCCATTTATCATTTTTTTCTTTTATGTTTCAGGCTTTTGTTGTCATATCTAAGAATTCTAATTCTTTGCATAGCCCTAGGTCCTGAAGAGTTTCTCCTAAATTTTTAGTTTTGCACTTTACATTTAGAGGTATGATCAATTCAGAGATAGTTTTTATATGAGGTATGAGATGTAGGTTAAGGTTTATTTTCTTGTCTGTGTATGTCAAATTGTTCTATCATCATTTGTTGAAAAGGATACTTGTATTCATTGAATTGCTTTTGTAGCTTTGTGAAATATAAATTGGCCACACTTGTGTGGGTTAATTTCTGGACACTACTCTGTTGCATTGATCTACATGTTTGATCCTTACCAATAGTACATAGTTTTGATTACTTGATTACTTGATTTATAGTAATTATTAAAATTGGACAGTATGATTTCTCAGAATGAATTTATATTTCTTTTGCAAAATTACTCTAGTTATTCAAATTTCTTTGCCTTTCCTCATAAATTTTAGAATCAGCTTGTCTATACAAAATATTCTGCTGAAATTTTGGTTAGTACTGAATTCATTTACAGATCAAATTGGGAAGAATTAATATCTTTCCTATATTAAATCTTGTAATGCCTGAATATGGTAGGTCTCTTCATTTATTTAGGTCTTCTTTAATTTCTTTCAACAGTACTTTATAGTTTTCAACATACAGATTCTCCATTTGATTTTCTTCCAGATTTATGCCAAAGTGTTTCCATTGTTATTGGAGTTATTATAAATGGTATTGTTTTTGTTTTAATTTCTGGTTTTAATTGTACATTGTTAGTATATAAAAAATGGTTAATTTTTCAGTATTGACTTACTTTTTGCAACCTTGTCAACTTTGTTATTTTAGACATTTTTTACTTGTATGCATTTATGGGGTACAAGTGTAATTTTGTTACATGGATAGATTAGTGGTGAAGTCGGGGCTTTTAGTGTATCCATCACCTGAATAACATATATTGTACCCATTAAGTTATTTCTTATTGTCCATGTCCTCCTAGTTCCTCACTTTTCTAAGTCTCAATTTTCTATCATTCCACACCCTGTGCCCATGTGTACGCATTATTTAGCTCCCAGTTAGAAGTGAGAACATGTGGTATTTGTCTTTCTGTTACTGACTTGTTTTACTTAATGGCCTCCAGTTCTATTCATATTGCTGCAAAAAGATATAATTTCATTCTTTTTATGGATGAATAGTATTCCATTGTATATACATACAACAGTTTCTTTATCCAATCATCCTTTAATGGATACTTAAGTTGATTCCATATCTTTGCTATTGTGAATAGTGCTAGAATAAACATAGGTGCAGATACCTTTTTGATATAATGATTGCTTTTCCTTTGGGTAGATACCTAATGATGAGATGGCTGGATCAAATGGTAGTTCTATTTTTTGTTCTTTGAGGAGTCTCCATACTGTTTGCTAAAGTGGCTGTACTAAATTACATTCCCACCAACAGTGTATAAGCACTCCCTTTCTCTGCATGCTCTCCAACATCTGTTATTTGTTTTTGATCTTTGTTCTTTGGGATTTTCTATACAGACAAGCATGTCCCCGTGAATAAAGACAGTTTTATTTATTCATGTCTAATTTATTTCTAAAAAATAATTTCTGTTTCTTGCCTATTGCATTGGCTAAAAGTTCCAGTACTATGTTGAATAGGGATAGTGAGAAAGGATTCCTTGTTTTTCCTAATCTGAAGAAGAAAACATTCACACTTTCATTATTAAGTATGATAGTAGCTGTAGATTTTGTTTGTAGATACCTTTTATCAAATTGAGGAAGTTCCTTTCGGTTCCTGGTTTGCAAAGAATTTTTATCATAAATGAATGCTCAATTTTGTCAAATTATTTTTCTTCATCAATTGATCTGATAATGTATTTTTTCTTCTTCGAACTCTAAATGTGATGGATCACATTGATTGCTATTCGAACATTGAACCAAGTCATATTTTACTGGGATGAATTCCATTTGATCATGGTGGATTATCATTGTCATTATGATGATTTTTATGTAGCTTCATTAAATTTAATAATATTTTGTTGACAATTCTTGCATCTTTTAATGCAAGATATTGGTCTGTAGTTTTCATTTTTTTCTACTGTCCTGCTTTAGTTTTGGTACAGAGTGATGCAGGCTTCATGAAATTATGTAGACAAAATTTTTATTCTATTATTTGAAAGACATTTTCGACACCTGATGTTATTTTTTAAAATATTTGATATAACTACACTGGGAAATCATCAGAGATTGGAATTTCTTTTTCAGGAGACTCTTGAGCTACAAATTCGAATTATTTAATATATGTAAGAAGATTTGTCTATTTCATCTTGTCTGAATTTGTAGTTTACAGTTTTTGAGGAATTGTATCATTTCAGATAAATTATTGAAGAGAGTGCATAGAGTTGAGCTGGCTATTCACTCTCTATTCTTCTTACATGTATGTCATTTTTAGTGAGAGCACCTCTTTCATTTTTACTGTTGGTAATTTATATATTTTCTCTTTTTTTAACAATCTTGATATTTATCCATTTCATTTATTATTTCAAAGAACCAGCTTTTACTTTCATTGATACTTAATATTTGTTGTCTGAATTAAACAAAAAATTTTTTACTCTTATCTTTTATCTTTACTCTTATCTTTACTCTTTTCTTCTTTAAACTTGCTTTGAATTTATTTTGCTCTGTTTCTTATTTTTTAAGTTAGAAGCATAGAATATTGATTTAAGAACTTTCTTCTTTCCTAATTAATAAATGCATTTATTGCTGTGAATTTCAGTCTAATCACTTCCTTAACTGTACACAACATCTTTGATCTATTTGTGCTTTTATTTTCTTTAAGTTCTATTTTTTTTCTAATTTATCTTGGAACTTTCTCTTTGACTCACAGATTATTTTAAAGTGGGGTAGGTAATATGCAGATGTTTGCTGATTTTTCAGTCATCTTTCTATTATTGATGTCTAGTTTAATTCCATGAAAGTCTGAGAACATTGTAGAGTTTAATTATTTTAAACTTCATAAAGTTTTTTAAATGATTCAGGTTATGGAGTATCCTGGTAAATGTACCATGTGGACTTAAAAAGAATGGGTATTCTGCTGTCATTGAGTGTAGTGTTCTGTAAACATCAATTATATGCAATTGGTTGATAGTTTTATTCAATTCTTCAATGTCCTTGCTGACTATCTGCCTTCTAGTTCTCTATATTACTAAGTGATATATTGAAATCTCCTAATATAATCACAAATGTTTGTATTTGTCCTTTAATTTCTGTCAGTTTTGCATATTTAAGCTCTGTTGTTAAATACACATGCATGTAGGATTGTTATTGTTATTTCATATGCAAGGACTCCCTGTAATTTTCTCTGCTCTGAACTATCCTTTTCTCATATTAGTATAGCCAATCAGGCTTTTGTGGGTTAATGTTTGCATGGGACATAATTGTCTATCCTTTTTCTTTTCATTTACCTATTTTGTTATCTTTGAAGTGAGTTTATTGTAGACAGCGTATAGTTGAGTAATTTTTAAAAATCCATTCTGAAAATTTCTCTTAATTGCTGTGTTTAAGATTATTATTAACAGATTTGTATTTAACTCTACTATTTCATTGTCTGCTTTCTGTCACTTCTATTTGTCATTTGTTTCTCCTTTTTTGTTTTCATTGAGTGACATTTAAGTTTCTTTTATTCTGTTTTAATTGATCTATTATGGTTTTTACTTCATCTGTTTATTACTGGCTGCTCTTATAATTAAAATATATACACTTTCTTTTTTTGTAAACTTCTAAGAATTTTAGTACATTATATAGAAAACTTAACATCACATAGGTCCCCTTACCTTCCTTCCTTTACGTTATAGTTTTCATATTACAACAACTTACATTAAAAACGTTATCAGATGAATGTTATAATTTTTGCTTCAAACATGTAATAAATTTTAAAAACTAGAGAAGAGGAAAATAGCCTATTATATTTATGAAGATTCTCCTTTATTTCTAAAATTCCAATGACATGCATTTTAATCTTTTATTATTGTCACACAGATCTCTGGGGCTCTCTTCATTTTTTCCCTCTCTGTTTTTGCTAATAGGCCCATCCAGTGAGTTTTACATTTTGGTTACTATACTTCTCAGTTCTAAAATTTCTATTTGATTCTTCTTTTTATATGTTATTTATTTGTTGACCTTCCGTTTTTCCATTTTTTTCAAGAGTGTTTACTATTGCTTCTCAGGCCCTTCGAATAATAGATGCTCTGCAGTCTTTATCAGGTAATTCCAACATCTGTGTCATCTTGACATTTGTGACTGTTAATTGTCTTTTCTCATGCAAACTGAAAGTTTCTTGTGGTTTTTTTTTTTCCCATGGCAAGTAATTTTGGCTTAATTCCTGGATATTTTGAATATTATGTTTTGTACTCTGGTTCTTATCTAAATTCTATGGCAAATGTTGATATGGTTCTCTTAGTGGCAAGGCAACCTGAATAAGTTCAGACTACAAGTTTCAACTTGCCTTCTGTGGGCTGTGAATTCAATCTCAGTTCACTGCTCAGTGCCTCACAGTGCTATTCAGATTTTGCCCACATGTGTGCCACCCTGTGGTGGATTTGAGACTTGGTCAATGATCTCGTTATTAGTTCTGTCCTCTAAATCTTTATATGCTCAGTAGAATCAGATCCACGCATGTGCAGACTGAAAGTGAACCCAGGATTTCTTAAACTACTTTATGGGGGATGTCTTCTTGGTGTCCTCCCTTTTCACAGTCTCTCAGGTAAAGTATATCCAGTGGCTTTTTACAGACTCCAAAGGGTCCCTAGCACTCCTCTTTTTGGTCCTCCAGAGAAAGTGTTGTGACTTTATTTTTTCTGCCCTGCCATGCACTTCCATGACTACATTTTGTCTGGGGTCAAGTGGAAGGATGATATATGAGGAAAAAGGCAATGGTAGCTCTCTCTACACTCCTGGGTTCCCAACCCCACTGAATAGCGAGGCTTCTGCCACTACTGCTGTGATATTACTTGGAGGATAAACAACAGCAACACAACATTGACAACAGAGGATTTCCACATTCCTTTTGAGATTTCAGAGTTCCTTTCTCACCTCCTGGAGCCAGAATGGGAGAGTTTTTCCTGGAGGCCTCTCTGTTTGTGCCAATGACCACCTCTTGGTTTCAGTTTGAATTGCATTCAGCCTAGAGGATAACATAGGGAAAAAATGCATAAACTCACCACCATGTGGTGATGCTTTGAATTCTGGTCTTCTTTCCAACCCATTTGCTACTATTTGCTTTTCATTGTCCTAAAATATCTCCTCCATATATTCTCTCCTGATTGTGTAGTCACAGCAATGGGAAAGACAACAAAAACATAGTTACTCCAAAGGACACAGAACTGGAATATATCCATTAGGGTTTTTTTTTTTTTTTTTTTTTGCATTTTTTTCAAATTTTTATTTTGAACTAATTTAAGACTCACAGAAGTTGCAAAAATAATACTGGAGGTTCCTGTGTGTACTTTCCCTAGCTTTCCCCAATGACAACATCTTATATACAAGAGTAACATTTTCAAAACCAGAAAATCGGTAGTGTTACAACACTATTAATTAAACCATAGGAATTATTTGACTTTTATCAGCTTTTGTTGGTGGTGGTGATGTTGATGATGATATGCAGTACTGTGGAATTTCACATGTATAAATTTCTGTTGACACCACCACAATCAAGATATAGAACTCTTCCAGCACTACAAAAAAACTCCCTCATGCTGCTATATCTGTATAATCACACTCTTCCTCTGATTCTAACCCCTGGTAACCATTGATCTGTTCTCCATTATTGTAACTTTTTCATTTCAAGGTTGCTCTATAAATGGAATTATACAGTATAGCCATTAGTTTTTAACAGAATCCGATCTTTGGCACCTTGTGTTTTATTGCTATTAAACATTCAGACATCAGCAATATTCCTTCAATGGGACAAGGACTGTAAAACACTGTACCTCAAGTCCCTCTGACCAGTACAGGAGCTGAAAAAAGAGTTATTGTAGTATAGGATATATTTATTGACTAGGTTCTGTTAAAGGATCACATACCTCATTATTGTTCATTTCTGAGAGCCCAACTGCTGGCCTGTTGGAGTCAGAGAAAAACTAGCTTTCACTGGACTCATGGCTTCAGGTCACAAACTATGACGAGGAGACCACGCTTGTCTCCTCTCTTCCCCTGTCCCCCTGTGCCACCTCCATGAGTGTGAGGTCAGGAGAACAGTGTGCTGGCAGACCACAGTGGAGCTGTTCAGAAAAAGGCACATTTAAACACACCTATTATCTCCATGCCTTTGTCAACAAAATATTTCAATTTCTGATGAATCTCTCTGTGTTCCTAGATTCATTTTAGGTCCAGCAAAACATATTGTTTCTTTGTTTGCTTTTCTATTTGCTCATGGTTATTACTTCCCCCTGAATGGTTCATTATAGCAGCAGTCATAGAATGATCATCTTGGAGTATATTATTATTTATTATGTATCGAGTGCCATAAAGGCTCATAAAGCTTTCCAGGTGCCTATAAGGATACCAGCCATTGGCTGCAGAGCACACAGCTGCGCTTAGGCACTTACTAGAGAGATGCAGCAGGAGATCTGAAGATGAAGCAGGCAGTTCCGGGGAGCAATTGATTCCTTCCAGCTTCCCCCTAGCAGAGGACGTGGTTGCAGAGCTCAGGAAGCTCCATGCTGTAAGGACACAGAAGAGGAAGTGAACAGAGAATGCACTCTTAATGTGGGTTTCATAGGCGAAGGTGGTGGTGCCTATAATAGTAGGAGAGGGAGCAAGACTCCTTTAGTTATAAAAATACAACTCTGATTCTCATATATTCTGAATGAGATTCTGTAGTCTCATTCAGAGAGGATAGGGAATGAAAGCAGGAAGGCAAAGATCACTTACATTTATTATCTATGTGCCAGCACTGATTTGGGCATTGGAATAGAGAGGACTGGAACCCATGGTGTGTTACAAAAAACAGACAAAAGATGAATAAATAAATATATAATGTAATGTTTCAGAAGGAGACTGAAGTTGGGTAAGGAGATCAAGCATAAAAGATGGTTATTTTTGATAAACCAGGGAAGCATGTTCTGAGACATGTCCTTTGAGCAGAGACCTTAATGAACTGAGGGAATGAACCATGTAAATATCTGGAGAAGGGCTTTGAGTAAGAAGGAACAGCACATGCAAAGGCCCTGGTTATGCTTACTCTTGGCAAGTGAAGTGGCAGTGATCCATTAGTGGGACTGAAGCCCAGGAGACAAAGCGGGGGTGGGGGGTGGGTGCTAAAGATGAGGTTGGAACATCAGCCATGGGCAGACCATGTAGACTGTGGGGAAAAGGGTGAATTTGTTCTCTGGGTGATAGCAAGTCATTGAAGGGTTGAAATGGGGAAACTGCATTAATCTGTTCATGATTTTAAAAGTTTACATTAGGTGTTGTGCTAATGTGTGGAGAATAAACAGGGATAGGTGAGCATAAGAATGAGTCTGTGTGTCCATGACGAGCACTTGCCAGGCTGACATACCCATTACATTTTATTCCTATGAAATTCTACCAATGCAGTAGATAGGTAACAATAATCTCCATGTGACGGAATAGTCTGTGACTCAGCAACTGCTGTAGTTTACTCTTGCAATAAACAGGAAGCAGGCACTTGAACCCAGGGGTGGTTCAGTTCTGATCTCTCCTTTTATCCCAGAAACAGCTTGGCTGCGGATACCTTGCTTTTGAGAGCCAGGAAGGGTCATTGCCCCTGCATTCTTGTCTCTATCCATTCTGTTTCCTCCTTGGGCAATGGAGACCAGATGTGTTTGTCTCACCCTCATGATTAAAGTTTAGATCCCATATATCCCTCCACATTTCCATTTGCCAGTGCCCTCCCAGGTGGCATCAGAAAACACACTGCCGTGATCAAGTGAGTATGACCCTTGGTGAACACTCTCCTCCCCATCTGGGATTGCCACTTCCCTTGTTTAAAACACCAGACACAGGCAGAGATTCTCTTCTTAACTCTCCAGTACTATCTTCCCAAGAAGTGCGATTTCCCTAGGTTTGCTCACCATTAGAGCCCAAATTCTGAAATTAGCTGGTATTGTCTGTCAGCAAAATGGTAACTAATATGAAATCCATTAGAAAATTATGATATTTGAGAGGCCGAGATGGGCAGATCACCTGAGGTCAGTAGTTCAGGACCAGCCCAGACAACATGGTGAAACCCCGTCTCTAATAAAAATACAAAAATTAGCCAGGCATGGTGGCACATGCCTGTAGTCCCAGCTACTTGGGAGGCTGAGGCAGCAGAATGGTTTGAAACTGGGAGGCAGAGGTTGCAGTGCGCTGAGATCGTGCCATTGCACTCCAGCTTGGGCAACAAAGCAAGACCCCATCTCAAAAAAAAGAAAAGAAAATTATGATGATCTCTAACCAAATCCTTGCAGTTCACACAAGGGGGCAAGGAAAGGTATGTTTTTGTAATTTTTCAGCTCGAGAAGAATGGGGAGGAAGCTACCACCTTGTGAAATTCTTTCAGGATTGTATCATCTCCGTGATTCTTCCTATTGTAGCGGAGAAAAAAATAAACACTTTCCCCTTTTCCTCTACTCTCTTGGGTTTAGTGGTTGGGGTATGCAAATTAAGCTGACAAAAGACAAATTAACAGGAGAAAAAACATACAAATATTATTGATGTTAATATTTTTACAAGTATAGGGTTTTACAAAAACAGCAAAACAGCAACAAGCAAGGAAAACCCAAAGTATTGGGTAGAATTGTAAAGTTATATACCATTTAAACAAAAGGTGAAAAATTGTGGGGAAGTGACTACATAAAGGAAAGGGGAGTTTTGGGCTTTTAGGGGCAGTAAATTATGTGAAGGTAAATATATGACAGAACTAACAGAAGATAAGTGTTATTTTAGGGAGGTTTGGGCAGACTCATCTTGGTGCTGACTTTCCATCTTTTTCGTGACCATAAAACTTCCCTGGAGAAAGGATTTATGGTGGTCCTCATTTCTCAGAAGTTTCTGCTTTTAGTCAGATAAGGGAAGCTCCAAGAAGGCTTCCTTCTGCATCTGTTGATTCGCAATTGCCTTCAGCTCAAAATTATCCATAAACCAAAGTGGAATATTTTGGGGTAACATATTCCCCTTCATTATCTTCGACTGGGGAGTAGCATGCAGCCAGCTTTGTTCAATCACTTCTGCTTGTACCTGGCTAAAAGTCATAGCATTGCCCAACATTCTTCCTGAAAGAGGTAATATGATATAATCAGTAAGAATTTGGCCTCTGCAGTCTAATTGCTCTGTTTAGAATCCTAGCTCTATAACTCACTATTAGGGATTTCTAAATGATACCTTATCTAATTGTTGTGTTTAGAATCCTAGCTCTGTAACTTTGTACTACAGGGAAGTTTTTGTGTGTGTGTGCTTCAGTTTTATAATCTGTTAAATGGGACAAAAACGAGATATATGCAGTGTGTGCTGGGTGATAGCTTCTGTTGCCATTAACTATATCAAGGACGAGTCTGGGCTGGCTGCACTGGCTGCTTTCTCCAAGCTCATGAGCCTGAGGGAACTTAGTGCAGTTGTTTTTAAATACTGGCTGCCCATGTCAAGAAGAAAAAGAGCTGCCCGAGGCTGATGTTGCCTCCTGTCCTTGCCCTTTCTATTGCGGTAACTATGGAGAGGTTTTTTTTTTTAACCTCCCTCTTGGGGACATACTCCAGTCTCAGAAGAGCAAATGTGCTTTCTTCCTGGGGGCAGGGGCTTTCTTTATTCTTCTCCCTCCTGGGCTCTGCTCACAATGGCACTTCACAACTGTTCCTTCATCAGTACATTCTCTGGGCATCTGCAAATCCCAATCAGCCAGGAAGCTATTCCAAACTCACTGTGAGGTTTGTATATGAACAAATGCTCTTTTTGACTATGCCTTATCAGCCTATTGATGCCCCTCTGGAGGTTCAGTCATGCCTCTTTATTTCCCCCTGGATGGAAATAAGGTATAATTTAGAAATCCCTCAGTTTATTTTTTTCACTTTTGATAGAAACACAGGCCTGATGAAAATTTCCCCTGTTTTTATTACCTATCAATCTTTCCAATGGAATTAATAGAGAGAAAGGCAGTTAAACCCTGTGCTCAAATTGCACTATCTTACCCAAAGTCCTATGAAAGAAAAATTTTGTTACATATTTTAAATGATATGGAGTGCCTATATCCCCTAGATAAACCTTGGAGTCTCTAGGTTAAGTCTTCCTGTTTGAACGTATCCACTTTCCCAGAACAGGCTCGGGTGGACTCTGGAATTTGCAGGAGGCCAATAAATCACTTCTTACGTATACCAGGGATAGTAGCTCGTTTTTAATCTTCACTCTGACCAAGCTCTGGCCCTGACACATGATCTCAGGCATGAGATGGGTGTCTGCCTTGGGCTCTGCTCTTGCAGAGTCACTATTCTGCAGGAAGCAGCTTTGCTTCTCATGCCCAGGAGCACCTGTGCAGCAGCGCACTTTTCAGGGCCCTGGAATGTAAATCTCGTGAAGACAGGATCTGGGCACATTCTGTTCTTTGCTGTCTCTCTCATACCCACATCAGTGTCTGACACATGGTAAGTGCTCAGCACTTACTGAAAAATGAATGAGTACAGTCAGGAATGATGGCCTAGATACTTTTCATCCTGTGTTTTGTGAAGGTATTGTTTGCCCACAGCACATGGAAGATTTTAATGAATTTTTTCACCTTTAGCTATGACAAACTGTGTTATATAGTTTAATATAAATGGGTAATTAAGAAAAAATATAAATCAATCTATAAAGAAATTAACATCTTGTTTTAATTAAGAACTTTCTTGCCTATCAGTCTTCTCAATAACTGTGTACTCTTGTCCTTGTGAAACTGAAGGCTGACCTGATTAAGCTAGCCAAAATTAACCTGCCTTGCTTGCTTTTAACTGCTTACTTCTAGTTGATCTTAAACCCTTATAGCTAAAAGTCATGTAGCCAAACAATACGTAACTCAACTCTCACTAGCTTCCTTACAGATAATATATCTGATGTGTATGTCACTATGGTAACGGTTGCTTTAACTTGTTTTTTGGGAGCTGGGGGACAGCTCTTGTCTGGTTTCAACTGATTGAGACCACCGACCCTTCAACTGGGCCTGCAGAAATGCCTAAAAGGTTATCTTTTGGCATTAGAGGGACAAAACTCCTTCCTCAGATCATGCTAATGAACATGCGTCCTATGAAGAGTCATGACCCCCAGCTACACTTGCAAAGACCATCGATTACATCATCTTTCCCCACTGCCAATCACTTTTCCCCATGCCTGGACCACCTTAATCCTCTATCCCATAAATATCGCTAAAACCCCATCTTCAGGGAGATGTACTGGAGACATGTTCTCCCATTTCCTCACTTGGCTGCCTCATGAATAAACTCCCTTTTGTAAAACTCATATCAGTGATTGGCTTGCTGTGTGTGGGCAGAATAAGCCTGGTTTGGTATCACTTATCAATCTAACAGTCCATGGACAAATGGTGAGTGCTCACTCTAATCAAATGGGGCTTGGCAGACTTTATTATATAATCTAGCAGCTCAGTGAAATTATTCTGTCTAATTCAAGGAAACTATGAGTTGGTATACATTCCTCTTCAGTCTTAGTGAGATACTTCAGAACTTGGGTTTGGTTCAACCTCAGAAGCTCCTATTTTTCAATGATGTTAACTCAAGAAAATTGCTGAGAAATCCCAGTTTTTATCTGATGTCTCCTCTGCTTCTGTTACTTTGTCTACTTTTATTCAACTTCCCAGGATTCCTTGCCTAGGGATATCAGTATCCTTCTGAAGAACGCTCAGGAGAATGGTACGTGAAGGAGGAGACAGAGCGGAAAACTATTTTTCTGTAGAGATGTACCTGTGGTGGACAGAATTTCTAAAAATGGCACTCAAGATTCCATGCTGGAACCTGTGACTATGAAAAGATATTATTGCCATGGCTCTGTTATGTTATATAGTACAGGTGATCTTGAAAAAGGGAGATTATTTGGGTTGACCCAATCTAACCATAAGTCCTGAAATGCACAAAGCTTTCTCTGGTGTGACAGAGTTTCTTTGCTTGACCAAACATTAGTCAGTCTCTTGAATCTTCTCCCAGGCCCATCTATGCACTTCCTTATAAAATCCACTTTTAGCAAGAACCCTGCTTAGTGAATTTAGCAAGAACTCCTCACCCTCGATATCTGACTGGACTCCTCATCCTCCACCATCTCCCAGGTGATGTCTGAACATCCTGGACTGTCTTCAGCAAGAATCTTGTTAGGTCAGTTCATCCAGAATTTCCCTTACCCCTGATGTTTCCTGTTCATAATTTTTCATCCACTGTTCCCACCCTGCTCTCTGGCTATAAATTCCCGCTTGCCCATGTTGTATTCAAAGATGAGTCCAATCTCTCTTCGTTAGAAAACTCATTGCTGCAGTCCCCATATCTGTTGCGATGGCCCCGAATAAAGTCTGCATTAATGTGCTTTAATAAGTGGCATTGAATAATTTTTTCTTTAACAGGAGTAGAAAGCAGAAGGCAACGTTAGATGTAAAAAGAAAGACCTCAAAGCACTGTTGCTGGTATGAAGATGGAGGTGAGCATATGAGAAGGAATGTGGGCAGTGTCTAGGGGCACAGAGTGGCCCCAGCTGCCAGCCAACAGGGAAAGGAGGACCTCAGTCCCATCACCACAGGAGCTAAATTATACCAACACCCTGAATAAGACTAAAAACTATTTATCTCCCAGAGCCTCCACAAAAGGGCCCAGCTTGCTCACATCTTGGTTTCTGTCCTGTGAGACTCTGAGTATAGAACCTAGTAGAGCCCTCCTGAACTGGACTTCTGACTCATAAAAGTGTGAGATAAGGAAAATAAGTTGTGTCCTGCTAAACCTCTAGCAATTTATTTTTTATTTTTAATTAATTACTTTATTTATTTATTTAGACTGAGTTTCATTCTTGTTGCCCAGGCTGGAGTGCAGTGGCATGATCTCGACTCACCGCAACCTCTGCCTCCCAGGTTCAAGTGATTCTCCTGCCTCAGCCTCCTGAGTAGCTGGAATTACAGGCCTGCACCACCATGCCCGGCTAATTTTGTATTTTTAGTAGAAATAGGGTTTCTCCATGTTGGTCAGGCTGGTCTCAAACTCCCGACCTCAGATGATCCGCCCGCCTTGGCCTCCCTAAGTGTTGGGATTACAGGCATGAGCCACCATGCCCAGCCAACCTCTAGTAATTTTTTACACTAACAGAAGAAAAGTAATACACATTCTTTCACTTTTAATTAAGTTCTAAATAGAATAGGTAAATGGAGTCCCCAAATATCCTACTTTTAAAAACTAAATTAGAAGGTGTACTCATTTGTGCCATAAAAGATTCTTTACATCACAAAAGAGTGAAAAGTTCCCTTTAAAGAGCACTTAGTGCAGTGTTTGTTTACAGATCATTACTTGCTTAACAGAGGAAGATACTGAAAGCTGAAATGTTCTAAGCTATTGCTGACTAAATAGCAATCAGAAATGAAGATAAAGTGTGAGATTATAATAATAGCAAATGGACATTTCCACATCCATTTCAGATTTTTTCATTTTACATAACCGGACATGAAAATTCCAGAATCTACACCCAACATCCTTTCAAGCCACATTTAGCTCAGGTAGGAAACTGCAGCTCAGGAGACCTTAGAAGTACAAAGAAGAGACAAGGAATTCTTGCCTTTGGGTTCTTTTCTCCCAACTACTTTGCCTCTTAATGATTACTAACATTGAACTTTTGACCAGGGGAGCAGAGAGGGAGAAGTATCAAGAAACTCAGGAGTTAAGGTGAAAAATCCTAACAGCAAGGCTCTTGATTCTGAGGAAGAGAAAAGGGGGACCCTTTGTCAGTCCTCTGCTTTCAGGACCATGCCAGGCCTACTTGACTATGACCTCATTAAATTCTGCACGAGGTACAATTTTCCCTGACGTTTCAGGTAAATAAACCAAGGTTCCAAGATTAGAGCCAATTTGTTCAAGTTTATGAAACATTTAAATAAAGGGCAGACTCAGTTTGGTTCCAAAGCTCATGACATTTCTGTTATAAAGCTGGCTCTCCAGACATCTGCAAAGGTGGACCAGTGATGAGAAGTAACAAAATCAACGTTAGAGCAAGAGCAATTCTACCTTTGTCACAGGGACCTTAGGGCTCAGACTGGGCTGCAACAAATTCAAGATTTTGGCTAAAAGATTCCTAAGTGCTTTGATACCCTCTCCTCCTATATACATTAATAAAATTGATATTGGTCCTAATAATTAGTTTTCATAGTTATCCTTAATGGTTAGACTTAGGATTCAATTGATCCAGAGAGACATTAGGTGCGAGTAGCGTGTCTTCAATCAAAACCTAAGGTGGAAGTAGAGAACATACATTGCTAGGATCTCCAATTGCCCTAAATTCTAATTTTACCCTTTAGGATACTATTTAAAGTTTTAAATTTTATTCAAACCAGGTAAACATTCTTTTACGTTCCAAAGTAATTACAGCTTGGTGAATACTGAGCTATTCATCATAAGCTCCGTCTTACTATATACTTCACCTGGCATTAGGTAGGCACCCCCTAAGTATTTCTCAAATTAACAGTATTGGTCTGTAGCTAACTCTGGTCCTTTCTCATAACCCCATGGGTTCTATGAAGCAATCAGTCATGCACTCACCCACTCTCGGACTCATTAAATCATTAAATAATTAAAACCCTTATGGTCAGGTTTGTTAAATTTATATTCATTTCCCTCACCCTCTTGAGTGATTTTTTTTTTCTTTTTGTAGTTCAAATAAGGGTTTGGCATTTATTAAATGATTTCTATGTGGCAAATAAATTCCCATGAAGTATTTACTAATTTTGATACTGGTCTTATGCAAAAGGTTATATTTGGTGCCAGTAGGATACTGAGCATACTGTAAACCACACATTCATGTGTTCACTTATTCATCCAACAAATATTTACTCAGTTCCAGTTGTTTGTCACACACTGTGAATGCAAACACAGAGATGATTGACAAGTCTTCCATCCTTTACAGAGCCTTCAATACATGTGTGAGAGAAAGAGGAATTATAAGCAAAATATGCCTCTCTAACATGCTGGGGATTTTAATTAAAGTTAAAAGTTTAAAACACAGAGGTAGACTCTGCCCCTCCTCTCTGCTTTTCCCACCTAAGGACAAGCTCCTTTACAACACACTTTCTTTTTTAAAAAAAATACATATATTTTTTAAATTTAAACTAGACTTTTACTTCTTTATTGCTTTTTTATTTTGTGTTATCCTTGCACAAGGGCCATACTAACCTTCTCTGTATTGTTCCAATTTTAGTACTTGTGCTGCCGAAGAGAACACAACAACACACTCAGAGACAGAGCCCATAGACAATGGCACCAGAGGATCTAGGAGCAGATTTCACTCTCCCCATCAATTTACCTTCCCATATTTTCCCACCTTTTGGAAGCCTGAAGATGCTTTCTTCTTTTTCTTGTCACTATGTAGGATTTATGGCTGTTTGTTAAAATATTATTTAAGCAAGGACCCTAAGCCACTGCCTTGAGAAAGAAATACTTTTGAACTGAGACCTTAGGAAAGGTCTCATCAGGAGCATCATGGGTACAGCACGTGTTAATAAACTTCTGCTTGTTTTCCTCACTTGTTTAATCTGACTTTTGTTTTCAGGAGAGTGTCTCAACAGCATCTCTTTAAGAATCTAAAAAGGGAAAGGACAGAAATTATGTTTCCTCCTTTACAATTTGGCACCCAAGATGGGGCCACAGAGACACCCTGACTGCTGCAGGACCTATAGGTGAAATCCTGGGAGACCTGGCAGTTGCAGCAGCAAAGAGTAAGATTTCTCACCAAGGTCAGCTTCTCTCAGGTCTCTATCTGTTGTACCTGGCCAAGAAAGAAGGTAAAAAATTTTCCTCATCCTTCCCTTTCCAGGTTCAGATTGATAGGAGGAAAACATTTACAAATAATAATAAAATTAATTCTTTGAATCTGTGACTCTTGTAGATTTGTTTAAGTACCTATTTGGTTATTGATCTTTAGTTTTGTAAGGATGATCTTTGTTTTCCTCGTCTCTGACTTTCTGAGTGGTTTGTCATAGGAGGATCACAGCAAGATTCTTCTTTCATCTTGTTTTATTTCTTGGGAAGCTTGGCTTTGTAAGCAGCAAATTTTTTCTGTGGTCTGTGCCACCTTGAGGGCATAAATTGTCTGGCTTATGTCAGGTAGCCAGCTGGGAGTCCCACTGGGCCCAAAATGTCTGTTTGTCTAAATGTGCTGGCTCTCAGGATTTGTCTTAATTGTCTCAACCTTCATTGCCTTGCTAATAATAAAGGCCTTTACTTTCTTAGGCCATCTTTGGAAAAACTTCAGATCTTGAAGGGGATTGCATTTTTGCATCCTCTTTGGGGATGTAATTTTTGTGTCTGGTTATAAGCCATAAAAAGACTTACTGATTTTAAGTAACAATTATAGTAGGTTTACTTTGGAAATTGGGACTTTTGTATCTAGAAGTATTTTTTTTAAGGGATTCTTCTTAGTCTCCAGGAGATGTAAATCTTAACCATGACTTTGAAATGTCTAGGGAATTAGATAAGCAGCATTCCAACTGAGATAGGATTTGAAATAGAGTTAAAGTGCTTTGAACCAACCACAAAATTCCTTTCCTCAGTGGGTACCTTTAGCTCAGGAGAGAAACATTTCTAAAATTACTCATTTTAAACAATCAAGGTATACCTTTGATTTAAATTTTGGCTTACATTTAGAGCATAATAGGAACTTTTTTGTTTGTTTTTTTTAGTCTTCTTTCCTAAGCTCAATGGAACCACATACTTAGAAAAACAAAAGAAACAGTTTATTAAAACGTTTTAAAGACAAAGAGTTTTAAACAGTGATTGCACTAGACCTCTAATAAACAAATATACCCCACCTCCAAGACTCTTTCTTTATGTAAATTTAAGAAAGGAAAAGGCAAGAAACAGCAATGTTTGCTATTTGCCCAGCTAAAATTTGATAAAAAGATTTTAAGAGCTCTATAGTCAAAAGTCACCTTAATTAAAAGCTGATATTTAGGCTATATGTATATGCATATATTTTTAAGACACCCTTCTTCTCTATGACAACTATATGCACTTCTTCTGTCTGTTTCTCCTCTTGTTGATGTAATTTTTGCCTCTAAGACTTGTTCTTCCATTTACTTCTGTCTGTCCTTCTTTCCTCGTGCCACCCACAATGTTGCAAGAGGAAAGATTGCAATACTGTAGACCTAAAAAAGATTTCTAACAGCGCTGGGATCCTGGGAGGAAAACAGAAAAGGCACCACAGGCTCCTCTTTTGGGGAGGAACCTCTGTTTTTCCTCCCGGAACCCCAAGAGTTGTGAATGGACAGGTTCCTGTCAGCTGTAAAGCTTTATATTCTTTTACATTGAACTCTGTGATTTATCTGGCTTTTATATGCATGCATGTGTACATTTGTAGGTTGTATGTTGTATCTACATGTATGTATATGTCTATACATATGTTTGTATATTTTCTACATGATACCAAATTAACTTAAAGATAAATGAGTGCTCATAAATTAAATAAATAAGCCCAAATATTTTTCCAGTTCATGTGACTTGAGTAAATCATTTGGGGTAAATAAGGGTAAATAAGACTAGTTTAATATTATTGGTTTAATAAAAATAACTATGTCTTCTGAGTTTATCAGCAAAATATTCATATGTTTAGCTTTCAGGTTCTTGCTTTTCTGATACTTGCCTAATCTAACATATAATAAAACAAAAATGATTAATAGAAAATTTAACTTGAGATGATGATCAGAGTTGCCTAAAGTCTCATAAAATTTTCCAAACATAATTGTTAAAATTAAATAAAATAGATTTAAATAAAAGTTTATAAGTAAAATTTTAAAAATAATTATAATTTTTTAATGTTTACTTTAAAAAGTCTCTCAAATCTTTTAGTAACTATACCCTTAGAGTTTTTTGCTAAGCTAAATTAAATAATTGATATTCATTGACTATCTAGATCATTTCCAAATAAGATATATTGCTAAGATATTACTAAAAATGAGTGTAAACTTTTTTACTTTAGGCTTCTTATTTCAGAGAAACAAAAGATATCTAGACCTATTAGTAAGTACGTCCTGTTCCACTGAAAAATGACTCCATTAGAAAGCTTATGTTTCTGAGAATTATAAAATATGTATTCACAAATTGTTAGTATGTGACTGAGTTAAAAATTGTTTACTGCTTAGATTTTCACTATGAATTAAGGTTAAGAATTAAAATTCTGACTAGTATGTGGTAACCAAAACTAGAACTTAAGAAAGGAAATAAATTATGTTTTCTCCTCTACAATTATAAGAAAAAATGATAAGTACTTCTATGTTGGCAAAATTCAGAAAAGAAATGTAAACACAGAGGAAGGACCTAACAGAGATAGAAGTGGGTAGGGGAATGATGAAAGGCTCTTCAAAGGAGTCAAAGCATGAGTGGAGGTGTGAAAAATACACAGGAATCATCCAGGTGGATAGGGAAGAAGTGAAGGACAGAGCATATGCGTTTGAGTGTGATATTCTAAGGGACAGATTGGGAAGCTCAGATGTGGCTGACTGATGTGTGAGAACAAAGCATAAGATAGAGACAGAAAGGTCCATCTAATTCCTAGGTGCTTCAGGCTGTGCTCACACAAGGGCTGGGCAGATAACCATGGTGCCCAACAAGGTGCTGGCAGAGAAGCAAAGCTGACAGATGCCGGCTCCTGCTTGAAGTTAGGCATTGTCCCTGTAGGGTAAGGATAAGCTTGCATGAAGCTAACCACTGTGGTTGGCCCAAAATGAGAGACAGGCCACAGGATGTGATGGGAAACACTGCAGACATCTGCCACACGTGGTTCATGCATGTGACTTTGGGACTAGGTTTTCCTTGATCCCCAGACATTGCCAGAAAACCCAGACAAGCCCAGGAAACCCAGCTGAGGTCAAGAAAAAGTCTGGATGGGACCTGAAATAGTACAGCCCAAGGGCCAATAAAGTGGAGAAGGGTCAGACAAATGACTGCATTTCAGGTCCTGATGAACTTTCTGGCCCCTAGGACCTCACTAACCTTGGCAGAAATCCAAACATGGCTTCCTTTTTGAGACAGGTAGGATCTTGACTCAAACACTGGCGATGGACATTTGGAGGGCACAGTGGCCAGACATTGGAAGTGGATAAATCTGGCCTGGACGATGATTTCAGTAAAAGAAACCTGAAACCTTTTTAGCAGAACATACAAGGTTCAGTTTTTCCTACTCCAGACCACTCCCTATTCCACTCTGCTCCTTTAACACATTCATCTTCCTTTCCTGCCCTCAAGGCGTTTGAGTTTACCACCTCTGTTGGAGAGTAGATTATGGAACTCTAGAAGATACCAGGTCAGCCTGAGGCCGACCAAATAAAAAGAATCACAGAAAAAGTCAGGGGTGTGAGGGAGGCCAGGAAAAAATACTGTAACTGCCCAACGGGTTCACCTTGCCCACTGCCTAGAAAGAGCCAATTTATCAAGAAGGGGATTGCAATAAAGAGTAAGTCACACAGAGCTGGCTGTGTGGGAGAACAGAGTTTTATTATTACTCAAATCAGTCTCCCTGAGCATTCAGCTATCAGTTTTTAAGGACAACTTGGTGGGTGAGGGGAAGTCCATGAGTCAGGAGCACTGGCTGGTCAGGTAGGAGATGAAATCATAGGGAACTGAAGCTGTCCTCTTGCACTGAGTCAGTTCCTGAGTGGGGGCCACAAGATCAGTTGAGCCATTTTATTGATCTGGGTGGTGACAGCTTATCCATCAAATGCAGGGTGAGCAAAATATCCTAAGCACTGAGCTTAGGAGCAGCTTAGAGAGGGTCAGAATCTTGTAGCTTCCAGCTGTGTGGCTCTTAAACCATCACTTCTAATCTTGTGCCTAATTTGTTAGTCCTATAAAGGCAACCTAGTCCCTAGGCAAGAAGGCAGCTTGATTTTGGAAATGGCTATTATTGTCTTTGTTTTAAACTATAAACTAAGTTCCTCCCAAAGTTAGTTCAGTCTATGCACAGGAATGAAGAAGGACAGCTTAAAGGTTAGAAGCAAGATGGAGTTGGTTAGTTTAGATCTCTTTCACTGTCTCATTCATAATTTTGCAAAGGCAGTTTCAACGTGGTCACTTAACAGAGAGAGGAAGGCATAGACAGCAGGTCTGACGTCAGGGACTGATCAGGCAAGATGCACATTTAAAGCATCTGCTGGGTGCAGCACTGAACAAAATCAAATCAGATCTTGTCTAGAAAATCAATCCTTGTGGCATCACCAGGAATTTGGAAATGTAAGGACCAAGTTCAGTAGAGTCAATTTGCTTTATTTTAACCTCTTCACCAGGACTCTCATTAATGAATTTGGGATTTTGTGTACAAGGTCCAGAACCAAGTCTAAAGGAAGAACACTGGTTATTTCCCATAGGTTTCTATTTCTGCTCCTTTAATGTAAAGCTTTACATACACTTTCCCCAACTTTGGCCCAGTCTGTTCTGCACCTTTCAAGCTCCCCTTCCCTCCCTAGGATACCTTCCTGCTGCTTTTGTTCAAGGCTAAGGTAATTCGAGCCATTTCTGAAAACTTTTATGAATTTCCCTATCCAGGACATTTGGCCGCTTTGCTTGACAGCTGACACAGCTTGTGTGAAGTGCAGGCTTTCCTTCCTCCTAGTTCAAGGGCATACAGGCAGAGCTTCCTAACATCTGAAAATGGGAAAAAATTTGCAAAGATTATTCACCAGCAGCCTCAGGGGTGAGGGATTGTCTGATTTGGTGCCTGGGAGAGTAAAAGGGCGGGTGCTCTAAAACTTCCCCTAACTCTCCTAATAAGGGTGTCATTTTTCTCCTCCCTGAGTGGGAGGGAACTGAGAATAATGAAGGAAGCTGTGCATTTGTAAAAACTTACCCCACCCGGTCTACCCTACTTTTGCTGATTCTCTCTCTGAGATTGAGCCCATGGAATCAAAATTCTCCCAGGAGAGCCTACATTTTCACTCTTTTTCCCAAGTGTTCTTTCATAGTTGGCTTTCTGGATGAGAATGATCCCTAACATCTGTAAAATAATTTCTCTTCACATCTGTGTAAGAATCTCTTACATCTGTAGAAGGTTTGCATATTCATTATCTCATTTGATCCTTACAACTGTCATGTATAATTATGCTAATGATGACAAAAATAATTTAATTCTTATTCTGTTCCATGTAGCACTAAGGTTATTTACACCACTAAATTTGATCCGTCCAAACCCTATCATGGAGAAATTTTATTAATCCCATTTTTCAGATGTGGAGACTAAAATCTAGATATGCACATAGATGGCTCAGGCAAGGGCATCCAGCTTTTCAAGGTCATTTAGTTTTTCTATTATAGAGCTGGGACCAACGACTAGGTGCCCTGCCTTATCATCTTGTGCTTGTTGTATTATACCAGATTGTTGCAAACCTAACTTATAGAACAGCATTTTCCAAACTGTAATAATGTGTTTAAGAGTCACCTGCAGATTTTGTTAAATACAGACTCCAATTCAGTAGTAGGTCTGGGTGAGGCCCACACATTTGTATATCAAACAAGCTCCTGGCTGAGGCTGATGCTAAGGGCCCAGGGACCACACATTGTGTAACAAGGCATTAGGAGATCCTGGTTGCAACCGTAATTTCTTCAGTCCCTATTATGAGATTAAGAAAACACTTTCAAAAGAGACATTTTGCCACCTGATCTTCATCTTGCTGGTTCTGACCATCCTGCAAGAAACTGCTTTGAATGGACAGGTGAGCTGGTATTTAAAGGCAAAGAATGATCCCTGAGCTAAGGCTGGAGAGCCTCCAAGAGTCTGCATTATGGGGTGTCAGAATTCTTCTTTCTGGGAGCTAAGAAGAGCATTGTTTACAGAGAAAAAGTCCAGAGCCCTTGGTCTCAAAGGCAGCTTTACTTCGTATGGGAGAAATATGAGGCTGAGGAAGAGATGTATTTTTTTATTCCAAAGGATGCAATTTTTTTTCTCAGCTTATCAAAGCATTACATACCCTTTGGAAATCATTTGCAAGATACATGAAATAACAAAAACACTGTTTAACTCATTCCAGAGCTCAATGTCTAGCAATAACCACTATTTATCACTGTTATGTATTTACAGTGAGTTTTTAAGCTAGATGAAGACACAAACTGGTAGATAAAACAATGGAGATTACACTGCACTTTTAGATTTATGTGCTGTGATTGGTTTAACAATTCTGTCAGAAGCATCACCCTGGGTTATTAAGGATTCTCTGTATGCATAATTTTTGATGGTGATATAATTTTCCATTGTTTGTCTCTATCATAATTTCCGTAACTATTCCCATATTGCTGTTCCTTCAAGTTTTTTTCTAAGTTTTCACTGTTATGATTAATGTTGAAATAAATCTCAGTTTACATTTTTTGTTATTGCCTTACAATAAATCGCTAGGAGTGA
Organism: Homo sapiens; assembly: GCF_000001405.40. NCBI lineage: Eukaryota > Metazoa > Chordata > Mammalia > Primates > Hominidae > Homo > Homo sapiens. The sequence goes on along the minus strand of NC_000010.11, from coordinate 85,530,220 downwards.
ACTTAGTGGAACAATGGTCTTAGACATTTTTAGGATGTTTGTTCCATACTGTCAAGTTTATTTCCAGAAATACTGTTTTCTAGAAAGGATTTTTTTTTTTTCTCTCCAAGAAGTGTCCCTGGATCCAGAGACTGAGCCCATTCTGAGAGCCTTCCTCCTCAGGGAAGCTAGCACTGTGTCTCAGCTATTTGCTTTGCAATTGTTTTCCTAGTCTTTCCTCCCTCTCATTATCAGAAAAGTGGCAGTGGAGGACCAATTTGGTTCTTAATGCACTCTTACTAATTGCACCGTATGTTACACATTTGGGTCACGGTAGTTTTGAATTCTTTTTGTGTGTCTTTGGTAAAGAAAATGAAAATGAGCCAACAGAGAAGTGGATCATGCTGTGGGAAGCCCACTACCCATGCCTCCCCCTGCACCGTCCATCCCTGTAGGCCACCAGGACATGTCCATAAGAGGACTGGGAAAAAGACCCACTCAATATTGCCTTTCTGGTCCATTTTGATAGTCTGACAGCTTAATTGCAGTTAAGCTTAACTGAAATTCAATTGCCTGTACTTTAATTGTGGGTGCTTCCATATCCCAAGGTTCTCTCTTGTTGTTGTTCAAAGTCGCACATCTTTACATGTGAATACCATGGCCTATCCAAGATGTGGTGGCCTGTATCACCTGGCAGCCTCCCGTATCATCCTGGTGTTGCCATTCTGGTGCAGAGTCTTGTCTGTATTGAGCATGAGTCAGGGCATATCACTGAGGACCCCAGGGAGCCCAGGGTCTGCAATGAAGGAGAAAGCATGTAGGAGACTTGGGTACAGTGATACAGATGCCAACTCTGAGGTGAGCAAGGAGGAGGCATGGGGAAGATGAACCGCAAATCCCGAGGACAGACTCCAAGTGGTGGGAGGAAGATCCTGAAGCACAAATCTGATAATCCCTCAGTTTGATCTCAGCCTGGCTTCAGACACAGCCAAGATCCTAGACTAAGCCTGGATCTTGGTCACAACCTGGACTCACCTCCAGGCTCATTGAGCCCTGACACAAGCCCATGCCAACTTAGATTCTGGCCATTGGAGTAAAACACTACCTGGCAACCATTTGAGCCTGAACCCCAACTGAGAATAATCCAATTTTTCCATTCAAGGAATATTTATTGAGTATCTACAGCACGCCTAATTCTGGGTCAGTTTCTGACTTTGAAGCCTCACCACCTCTTTTCAACATTAGTGTGAAATTTAATGAGAAAATACATGTGCCCAGTTAGTTCTGAAGCCATCCTCATAAAATTAGTAAAATCAATTGCCAGGTGTTTTGACAAAAGTAGACGCCTGGAATACAATTACAGCTCAACGTAACGGTTAACCAGCACACCCTTTGGCCCACTTGCTTATAGTCACTTACTTCCCGTAAGTCACAGACCAGGTCACAAAGCACTAACTTTCCTTAGTTGCTCCTATAGATAACATCTTTATCATTGAGAAATGTCAAGTTTTCCATTTAAGTTATTTTTCAGAACTCATATTCCAGTGAAAGTACCAATGTTAGCTAACCTGAAGGTCCCCACCAAGGAGCTCACTCAACTGAAGAATGCAGTTGTTGCTACATCCTGATGATTTCACCCCCTAACCCTGACCAAATGGTGATCACAATCTTCCAGCCCCTTTCTCTCCACAATTCCCTTTAAAACCCTAGCCCAAAACCCCTCAGGGAGGCAGATTTGAGGTTCTTCCTGTCTCTTCATTTGGCTGCCCAATGGATTATGAAACTCTTTCTCTGCTGTAACTCCTGCTGTTTCAGTGTATTGGTCTGTTACTGCACACTGAGCAAATGAGACTGGTGGTCATGTAACATCTCCATTGCTCAGCAGTCACCATTATGTACCCTCACCACAGCCTGAGCCCTCCTAACCCCAGTCATGGCTAGGGGGACAGTAGTCTTTTCAGAGTGTGGAGAGAGGTTCTGTAGGACTTCCTAGCAGTCCTGGTAAAGACTTGTTTCCACAGGCCTTGCACACATTGTTCTCTGGGTCTCATAGCTGACACATCCTGCTGAGTCACCCCCACTAGCTTTGGTTTCTGGCCCATCCCCCTCTTTCTTTGCTTTTATCTCAGAGGAAGCACTCCGGACTTCTGGAGAAAACCTTTCCTTCTTCAGCTTCCCTCCACTCACAAAGCTACTTCCTCTAAACTCAGATGTTCTAAGTGTAGAAAGGATGGCCCCTCTGGGGTTAGGAAGAGGATATTTGCTTGCCTCTTCCATAGGCAATTATATTTTCCTTTGACACTGGACAGAGCTCTGTATCCCTGACCTGTGGCAGAATGTGGTTGGAGGTTGTCACCTATTAGTGACTCTAAGTGACTATTCCTGATTCACTCGGCCAGTGGTGTTAGGCTCCTAGTGGCACAGGAGGGCATGATGTCATGGGCCTGGCTTCCTCTTCAAGAGGAAATATGTGGGCATTCTGAACATTTCTGTTCTGTATGTCTGCCAATCTGGCACCCTCCTACCAGACACCAACCTTCAGAGTGCATGAGCATTGCCTGTAATTCAAAAGTGATTCTGGATTCTGAATAAGCGCTCAGTCATCAGATCTCACTGTGAGTGCATCTGCATCTCTCTCAGAGATACAAGGGTTGGCAGACATGGATATACTCGTTTTTACTTTGCAGAGAACTGGACCAGCAGAACCCACCAGGATAGGGCTCTTTTTATGTTACTGTTAGGGTGCACAAAACAATTTCCCAAAATATAGTGCTTGGGTATGCTGATTGCTTTTGAGAATTGAAAGGACTCAGAAATAAACCTCAGAACTATGGTCTCTCTCTGATCTTTTCCACACCTCCCTGTCTCTCTCACCCTTTTCTCTGAAGCACTTGGGAGGGAGTGTCTCTGGAATTTCCTTATATGATTAACAAAACTTCTTTCCAAAAGTAATGCAATTGTCTTAAGACTTCCTCCCTAAGAATCTCATCAAATAACCAGGGAAGATCAACCACCTGAGAAGAGAAGAGACTGTAAGTCGTCACCACACCCAGACATCATCTGCTTTTCTGAGAGCAGCTCCAAGTGATAACCTGGAGGACTTTATCTGCAAAATAAAACAACCTTTGTCCCTGTACAGTGCCACCTCTCCCATTCTAGTAGTGTCTGACTCCCTCTGCCTGGGTCCATTCATTCTTTCTAATGATTGACTGCTCCTCAAAAGAATTGTCTACATTTTCCATCTGTTCCCTCTTGTGTGAAGAAGGATGCATAAGCTCTTATACTACACTGGCTTTTTTGGGTGATTACCCTGTGATTCCCCCCTGTACATGTTAATAAATTTATATGCCTTTTCTCTTATTAATATGCCTTTTGTCAGTTTATTTTTCAGCGTACTTTCAGAGGACGAAGGCAAACTGTTCCCTTTGCCCTTGCATTAACAACAGACTGACACAGATTCATGGAGATCAGCCAATAGGAGGGAAAGATTGTTGTTTTCTTTATACAAAAGAACAGAAAGCTCATTTCACTTGATTCTTAATACCGCTGTTTTAAGTCAGTACAATTATCCCTATTTACCTGATTAAGAAACTGAAGCTCAGAAGATGTTGAGAAAATTACACATGCTCACACAGTTATCAACACAGCTGAGATCTGAGGGGACAATTTCTGCACTCAAATGACCATGTTCTAGCACACAGAAACCGACAAATCAGTGTGTGTGGAATACAAGAATGAACTTCAATTTTTATGTTTTAGTGATACATGCTAACTGAGTCTTCCCCCCTTGTCCCCACCTGGGATGCCTTGAACTCTGGGGCAAAATGGGCTCTTACAAACTCCTCCCACCAAATCAGTATCCATTCTTCATAGACTGGGGAACCAAGGTCTAAGCTCGGATTGCTTTATGTGACAAGGAGACTAGCAGCAGGAGAGGTTTTTCAGACAGAGGTGATGTGATAGAAACAAAAAGAAAAAAAAATAAAATGTTTACAGGTTTTGAATAGACCATAGACATGTTTCCTAACCTCCTTCCACCTTTTCTGGTCCCTTATTTGTAAAATGGGAATAATAATACCTGCCATCCAGGGGCATGGAAAAAATTAAATGAAAGTACATTTTTAAAACATCTGTCACTGTGCCATCAAGGTTTAAAGAAGAAATGCTCCACCTTGCAGAATGAGTCTAAAATCTAAAAGTGTGGAACCGCATGAAGTTCCTGTATACCCCATCTCCCATTTCCCCATCCTCTTCCTACCTGTGCCTCCTTCAGCAGCCCCCTGGCCTGGAAGGTCTGGGAGCCCACCTGCCCTCCACTTCCCTGTCTGTCTATTCCCCACCACAAGCACATGTGGCTCATGTTCAATGCCCAGGAACCCTCTCCTTTCTGCCACTCTCTGCTTGTCCAAACTCTTTCCCATCTCAGAAAACACCCATTTGACCAGTTCAATGCCCACAGGGCTCTTAATTCATCTTTTTTATTGTTTTTACTATCATTGGCAGCTCACTAATAGCTGAATACCAGCAGTTTTGGGCGTTTTATCTGAGGGATTGTCAGTCCTTCAAGGATGGAGCTTTCTTTTCCAGCAGAACTGAATACAAGCCTCAATTAATGAGAGTAACAGTCAACATGTGCTTCCCCTCTGACAGCTCCCATTCCAGAATATTCTAGAACTACTCATTGAATATGGACAAGAAAGGGAGGGAAAGATTTTGCATCTTCTGCTGGTATATTCTTCTTCTTGTTTCTCTCCCCAAACCCTCACACACACACACACACACTGCCCCACACTCAAACACACATGCCTCACATATTTGTAGGCACAGATACACAAACTCACACTTTTACCTCAGTAAAGCAGAGCACTGGCTGCCCCATCTCACCACAGCAAAACCTAGTGACTGGTTTCTTCTAAGCACCTTCTTGGGAGTCTCTATTGTTATGAATTCAGGTTTTACCCATGCCCTAATTTATCTAAACAATTCAGGCTAACGTTGTCATTGTCTGGCTACTCAAAGACTCCTGCTAATTACTTAGCCCATTCTGTCTGATAGAAAAGTCTTTCTTCAGCTGCATGGGATACATGTGGTGAGGAAGAGGGGGACAAAGCAACACAGAGGTGTGGCTGTCCTGATGTTGGAGCTGGAGAGAAGATCTGAGACTAAATACTTCCCAGAAACTTTGACGACACTTGCTTTAAACACAGGCCTGTCACAAAGCACACATGTTGTGTCTGACAGAACACACTTCATTTCCTCTACATGGAACAGTCTCTCAGTTGTTCCCAATTGCCTCAGAGACAATAGAAAAGGGAGTCTGGGGAAAATCAGATTACCTCTGATCTCATTTCTTTCTCAGTTTCATGGATCATAGGTTTAGGTTATTTTAAGAATTGCCACTGAGGAAGAAAAGGCAAAGAATTCAATATAATCACACTAGTAACATGACTGAATAGGTTTGTGAAAACTTCTTCCTTTTGTCCTTTCTCCCTCCTTTCTTCCTGTGCATGCATCCCTCCTTTCTTTTAGGTCACTATCTGGGTACTGAGGACAAGACACTAGGAAGGTAGCAGCTGTCATTCAAAAGACCACCAGGATGGATAGTAGAAATTATTGGCAGTAGCAGTTTGCAAACTGGGAAGACACTTTCTATGGCTGGTACTAAAGCTACTTTCTCTTTGAAGAGTGGAAGGACAGGTTGGGTTTTATGGCTCAGAGGGCCAGTATCATACATATTCAGCAGATTTGGGAGAAAGCTATACATATTTATGAGAGAAGCCAAGTGCATGCATAACGGGTAAACCAGTACGTATCATACATTCCATGTTCACTTTAGGGCAGGGTTTTAGCATTGAAATGGGGTGGAATTTGGCTCTTCACATCAAAGGTGAATTATAAGACACAAAGACAATTTGTGCGCAGCCTCTATGAGCTGCTGCAAATGGTTTAAGTTCTGCAATTACTTATCAGAAAAGAATGTTTGTAAGGCTGGTGGTCTGTCCAATCAGATGTGTAGCGGCCTGGGTTGCAAATCAGCCTGACAGCTCCTATTGCTGGGGAGTTTTGTGAGGGTGTGATTTTTTTCTTGTGGTCATAGGAATTTAGAAATTTGCCATACCAGCTGGGCCCTGAATGCTCGATCCATGGGTAACTTTTGTTTTCTTAACCTTAGGGCCTGTCTTAGTTGATAAAGCAGTATCTATTTCAGTCTTTCAGACCACACAGGTATTGAGGATAAGGAGAGAAGCAAGGGCAACACCCTTCCCTAGTTCACAGGCCACTTGGCAGAGTGAACAACATAGAACAGACCCAGTTTCAGATCAGAGCTCTTCCAGTGACAGCAGGTTAACACTAACAAGCCCTTCTCCTTGCTATGCCTCAGTTTTCTCCCCTATAATTACTGTTGTTATCTTTCAGATTCAGTGCTATTAAAAAATGAAGCCCTGATGGAAACAGAAGACTCAAGGAAGAGACGGCAGATTGCAGCAGACAAGATTATAGCAGACAAGATTAAAATATAAGATCATTCAGTCTGCGTTCTTTGTTTTGGCATATTTGTTTTTAATAGGCTTTCTTCTTATACACAAAACAAAAGCTTATACTAGAAACATTATTCAAAAAGATAATAGTTCACATTTACTAAATTCCTACTTGGTTGCTAGGCCCTGAGCAAAGTAAATTACACATTTTATTGCCATTGAGACTTGGAGTGATTGAGTTACCAATGTGGCAGGGCAAGTAAGTGGCACACCAGGATTTTAACCAAAGTGCTAACTTCAGAGCATAGAATCTTGATTATTAACCTATTTTTCTAAGAAAAAGGGGGTAAGTTAATCCCATCCCACTGTAAAGTAATGTTGGTTAGCATTCTTCCTTCTTTTTTTTTTTTTTTTTTTTTTTTGAGATGGAGTCTTGCTCTGTCGCCCAGGCTGGAGTGCAGTGACACTATCTCAGCTCACTGCAACCTCCACCTCCCGGGTTCAAGTGATTCTCTTGCCTCAGCCTCCCCAGTAGCTGGGATTACAGGCTCCCATGACCACGTCGGGCTAATTTTTGTATTTTTAGTAGAGACAGAGTTTCACCATGTTGGCCAGGCTGGTCTCTAACTCCTGACCTCAGGTGATCCACCTGCCTCAGCCTCCCAAAGTGCTGGGATTACAGGCATGAGCCACTGGGCCTGGCCACTTCCTTCTTTCTAATATTTACAACTCTTATTTTTGATCTTGATAACACTGAGTTCCACTTCCAGATGAATATTCAATAACATTGACATCATCTTACTTTGTATCAGATTTCAAAGTTTTAATTGAAATAGTTACATGAAAAGTTGAGGAAGTTGAAATCCAAAAATCTGGCGGTGCAAATATTCTGAGGTAAAAAGTTTCCAGGTTCTAGGAAGCCTCATAAAATCCCATAGCTGGAGAGGCAGATAGGGGCTTGACCAAGACCTGATAGTCAATGTCTAGTTCTTTTGCTGAGTACAGTAGGAAATTGCCAAAGAATTTTAAGCAATGGAGGGGAAAGATATAATGAACATAGTTAAAATGTTCACTTAATTGAAAAAATGTTGGTAAGTCATGTGGAGAATTGAAAGCTTTGTTTGCTACTAGCAGGGGTGTGAAATGGCACAACCATTATTGAAAACAGTATGGCAGTTACTGGGAAAAAAGGGCAATTCATTCGGTAATCCCCATCATGGCCTCAGGTTTCTGCCTGGGGGACAGTTTTCTGATGGCTGTGTAGTGAGCTGGAGTCCAAGCAAAGAACAGCAGCATCACTGATCAGAGGAGGTAGATATTAGGGTTTGAGAAAACCAAAGTTGCTGGAATTTAATAGGCAGGCACTAGAGGATAGAGAGCTGGACAGAGGTTTCCTCATGAGTCTCCATGAGTCCTTGACAAGGACCCAGGGCTGTACAAGTTTAATGAGAAACTTAGAAGATGTAGCTGTTATAGGATGGAGAACGGAACAGATACTAGAGCTCAAGCAGTGCTCAGGGATGTTGGAGATATCCACTTAAGACATCTTTAGGCTTTCCCTTATGATATGGTTTGGCTGTTTCCCCCCACCCCAATCTCATCTTGAATTGTAGCTCCCGTAATCCCCACATATCCTGGGTAGGACCTGGTGGGAGGTAACTGAATCATGGGGGCAGGTTTTCCACTTTCTGTTCTCAGGATAGTGAATAAGTCTTATGAGATCTGATGGTTTTATAAAGGGCAGTTCCCCTGCACATGCTCTCTTGCCTGCTGCGATGTAAGACGTGCCTTTGCTCTTCCTTTGCCTTCCACTATGATTGTGAGGCCTCCCCAGCCATGTAGAACTGTGAGTCCATTAAACCTCTTTCCTTTATAAATTACTCAGTCTCAAGTATGTCTTTATTAGCAGTGTGAGAATGGACTACTACTCCTTATAAGGAAAGATTAAATTTTTAGTAAGTTTTATTTTATTTCTCTTTAAAAAGTCTGAAAACAAACTTTAACAAGATTCTGAAAAAGAGACAGTGTTTGGAAGTTGAATCTTGCCATGTTAAAGAGGACATGAAAACAGAACTGCTTTTCAACAGATCTTCCATAATAAGATGTAAGAAAACTTACTCAGTTGCAAGGTGAGCAAGAAGTAAACTACTTACTAGAACAAAAGCCAACACTCTTTAGAAAAAGATGACAGAATCCAAAGTCCATACAACTCTACACAGCAATGTCTAGTAGGAAATCAAAAATTGCTGAACATAGATAAAACTAGTCATGGGGGAAAAAAGTCAATAGAGATTGACCACAAGATGGTCTTTAATATGGACTTAGCAGAAACACACACACACACACACACACACACACACACACACACACACACACACAATGTAAAACAGCTACTATAAAGTGCTGGAAGAACATAAAGAAATATGTTTAAGGAATAAAATAAAATATTATATTAATGAATAAGGCATTCAGAAATCACCTAAGAGGAATGGAAACTATGACAAATAACAAAATACACATTTAGGAATTCATTGCAGGAAAAATTTATTGCATGGTCAGATCAGCAGATTGAAGGTAGAGAAAAATTGAGGAATCAAACTTGACTCAAAATCTAAAGAAATAATCTAATCCAAAGAAGAGATAAAATAAAGGTAGAAAAAACTATCAACAGAGCCTCAGGGTTATGTGAGTCAATATAATATGGTCTGATGTGTGTAAATAGGATTTCTATAAGGAGACTAGATGAATAATGATACAAAAATGCTTGAAATACAATAACTGAAAAGTTACAAACTGTGATGAGAAACATTGACTTACAGATATAAGAAGCTTAATGAACTCCTAGCAGAATAAATACAGAGAAAACTGCTTCAAGGTGTATTATAGTCAACCTACTGAAAACCTAAGAGAAAGAGAAGATATTTAAAGTATCCAGTGAAAAAAAGTCACATTATATACAGGAAAGCAAAGAGGAGAATGACCAATAACTTCTCATCAGGAAGAGAGCAGGCCAGGGTACAATGCAATGACATCCTTAATGTGCTGGGGTGGTGGTGGTGTCAGTCAACTCAGAATTCTATACAAACTAAAAATAACATCTAAAAATGAAGGGCTAATAAAGACATCTGATAAATAAAACTGAGAGAATTTGCTACTAGCAGACTTGCAATGGAAGAAATTCAAAATGTTCTTAAGGTTGAAGAAAAATGATATCAGACGGAAATTCAGATATCTAGGAAGCAAAAGAAAGCAACAAAAATTGAAAAGAAGTAGTTACACATAAAAAGCTATTCATTTTGCTGCTTATAATTTCTATAAATAATAACTGTTTACCACAAAATATTAACATCATAAAGTAGGATTATGGTGTAGAAATAAAAAGTGGCACAATAGCACTAAAGAAAGGGGTTATGTACATATAACTTTACTGCTTTTTAATTATTACATTTGAAAAGTGATAAGTGGGAGGTGTGAAGAGCATAGTGGAAAGTGGAAGCATCAGAAGAGGAAAGTGTCAGGTGTGAAGTGGAAACATTAATCTGTCTGGCTACTGGAAATTAAGTACAGATTATTAGCCCTAGAGCAACTATAAAAAATAATGAAAGAGATATTGATGAGAAGTTAATAGACGACATAAAATATGTGATTGTGTTCGAGTATCACCCACCTCCAACCCCCCCCCCAAAAAAAAGCAAGAAAACATCAACAGAAGAACAAAAACAAAAGACAAAAATGGAAAACAAATAGCAAGAGGTCCTTCACGTCCCTCGTAAGTTGGATTCCTAGGTATTTTATTCTCTTTGAAGCAATTGTGAATGGGAGTTCACTCATGATTTGGCTCTCTGTTTCTCTGTTATTGGTGTATAAGAATGCTTGTGATTTTTGTACATTGATTTTGTATCCTGAGACTTTGCTGAAGTTGCTTATCAGCTTAAGGAGATTTTGGGCTGAGACAATGGGGTTTTCTAGATATACAATCATGTCATCTGCAAACAGGGACAATTTGACTTCCTCTTTTCCTAATTGAATGCCCTTTATTTCCTTCTCCTGCCTAATTGCCCTGGCCAGAACTTCCAACACTATGTTGAATAGGAGTGGTGAGAGAGGGCATCCCTGTCTTGTGCCAATTTTCAAAGGGAATGCTTCCAGTTTTTGCCCATTCAGTATGATATTGGCAGTGGGTTTGTCATAGATAGCTCTTATTATTTTGAGATACGTCCCATCAATACCTAATTTATTGAGGGTTTTTAGCATGAAGGGTTGTTGAATTTTGTCAAAGGCCTTTTCTGCTTCTATTGAGATAATCATGTGGTTTTTGTCTTTGGTTCTGTTTATATGCTGGATTACATTTATTGATTTGCATATATTGAACCAGCCTTGCGTCCCAGGGATGAAGCCCACTTGATCATGGTGGATAAGCTTTTTGATGTGCTGCTGGATTTGGTTTGCCAGCATTTTATTGAGGATTTTTGCATCAATGTTCATCAAGGATATTGGTCTAAAATTCTCTTTTTTGGTTGTGTCTCTGCCCAGCTTTGGTATCAGGATGATGCTGGCCTCATCAAATGAGTTAGGGAGGATTCCCTCCTTTTCTATTGATTGGAATAGTTTCAGAAAGAATGGTACCAGTTCCTCCTTGTACCTCTGGTAGAATTCAGCTGTGAATCCATCTGGTCCTGGACTCTTTTTGGTTGGTAAGCTATTGATTATTGCCACAATTTCAGAGCCTGTTATTGGTCTATTCAGAGATTCAACTTCTTCCTGGTTTAGTCTTGGGAGGTTGTATGTGTCGAGGAATTTATCCATTTCTTCTAGATTTTCTAGTTTATTTGCATAGAGGTGTTTGTAGTATTCTCTGATGGTAGTTTGTATTTCTGTGGGATCAATGGTGATATCCCCTTTATCATTTTTTATTGCGTCTATTTGATTCTTCTCTCTTTTCTTCTTTATTAGTCTTGCTAGCAGTCTATCAATTTTGTTGATTCTTTCAAAAAACCAGCTTCTGAATTCATTAATTTTTGAAGGGTTTTTTTGTGTCTCTATTTCATACTTCAGTTCTGCTCTGATTTTAGTTATTTCTTGCCTTCTGCTAGCTTTTGAATGTGGTTGCTCTTGCTTTTCTAGTTCTTTTAATTGGACCTCTTCAAGGAGAACTACAAACCACTGCTCAATGAAATAAAAGAGGATACAAAGAAATGGAAGAACATTCCATGCTCATGGCTAGGAAGAATCAATATTGTGAAAATGGCCATACTGCCCAAGGTAATTTATAGATTCAATGCTATCCCCATCAAGATACCAATGACTTTCTTCACAGAATTGGAAAAAACTACTTTAAAGTTTATATGGAACCAAAAAAAAGCCCATATCACCAAGTCAATCCTAAGCCAAAAGAACAAAGCTGGAGGCATCACACTACCTGACTTCAAACTATACTACAAGGCTACAGTCACCAAAACAGCATGGTACTGGTACCAAAACAGAGATATAGATCAATGGAACAGAACAGAGCCCTCAGAAATAACGCCGCGTATCTACAACTATCTGATCTTTGACAAACCTGAGAAAAACAAGCAATGGGGAAAGTTTTCCCTATTTAATAAATGGTGCCGGGAAAACTGGCTAGCCATATGTAGAAAGCTGAAACTGGATCCCTTCCTTACACCTTATACAAAAATTAATTCGAGATGGATTAAAGACTTAAATGTTAGACCTAAAACCATAAAAACCCTAGAAGAAAACCTAGGCATTACCATTCAGGTCATAGGCATGAGCAAGGACTTCATGTCTAAAACACCAAAAGCAATGGCAACAAAAGCCAAAATTGACAAATGGGATCTAATTAAACTAAAGAGCTTCTGCACAGCAAAAGAAACTACCATCAGAGTGTACAGGCAACCTACAGAACGGGAGAAAATTTTCGCAACCTACTCATCTGACAAAGGGCTAATATCCAGAATCTACAATGAACTCAAACAAATTTTCAAGAAAAAAACAAACAACCCCATCAAAAAGTGGGTGAAGGACATGAACAGACACTTCTCAAAAGAAGACATTTATGCAGCCAAAAAACACATGAAAAAATGCTCACCATCACTGGCCATCAGAGAAATGCAAATCAAAACCACAATGAGATACTATCTCACACCAGTTAGAATGGCAATCATTAAAAAGTCAGGAAACAACAGGTGCTGGAGAGGATGTGGAGAAATAGGAACACTTTTACACTGTTGATGGGACTGTAAACTAGTTCAACCCTTGTGGAAGTCAGTGTGGCGATCCCTCAGGGATCTAGAACTAGAAATACCATTTGACCCAGCCATCCCATTACTGGGTATATACCCAAAGGACTATAAATCATGCTGCTATGAAGACACATGCACACATATGTTTATTGCAGCACTATTCACAATAGCAAAGACTTAGAACCAACCCAAATGTCCAACAATGATAGACTGGATCAAGAAAATGTGGCACATATACACCATGGAATACTATGTAGCCATAAAAAATGATGAGTTCATGTCCTTTGTAGGGACATGGATGAAATTGGAAATCATCATTCTCAGTAAACTATTGCAAGAACAAAAAACCAAACACCTCATATTCTCACTCATAGGTGGGAATTGAACAATGAGAACACATGGACACAGGAAGGGGAACATCACACTCTGGGGACTGTTGTGGGGTGGGGGGAGGGGGGAGGGATAGCTTTAGGAGATATACCTAATGCTAAATGACGAGTTAATGGGTGCAGCACGCCAGCATGGCACATGTATACACATGTAACTAACCTGTACATTGTGCACATGTACCCTAAAACTTAAAGTATAATAATAATAATAATAAAAAGAAAACAAATAGCAAGATTGTAGACTTCAACCGAATGGATAGGAATAATTGCATAGAATATAAATGGACAGAAATAGGCCAATATTCCTTATGAACATATTTATAAAATTCTTAAAATATTAGTCAATCATATCTATAGCTGGGTGCACTTATCATCCCAGTGTTGATTATTTTTTGTTTTTGCCCCTTAGTTAACACTATCAGAATTTTGTTTTATTGATATTTACAAAGACTCAAAAAGGTATTCTAATTTGTGTTTCATTTTAATATAATTTTAGCTTTTAGATTGAATTAAGGGTCTGTGTGTGTTTAGAATGTAATCTTATGTTTTATTTCTTTTCAATATTCCAGAGTCATTTTAAAAAGATTGTGAAATACAAAACATATATATCTAGCAAATTAACTTTATTTATTATATTATTGTTTTCCTAAAACCCATTTATGGTTGTCTATTTGATCTGTCTAAAGTTTAGATAATTGACTTAGTTTCCTGACTTGATTATGGTTTTATTAATTTCTCCCAGCATAATAGCAGTTGTTATATTTGCATTGATGCAGTGTTATTCAACATAAACACTTCATTACATGTCTATTGGAGCAGTTTTCATTATCAATTATGTTATTAATATGAAAAATACTTCCCACCTATCTTTAAATATTTAGTTCAGGGGCCAACTCCCCTAATAAGCCTTGCCCTGGTTCTTGAGGCTTCTCTTTTACACATCCCCTCTGCCTCCTTGCTTAATTCTATTGTTGCACTTATAATATTTTATTAATGTGCTACATTGAGAGACTCTATTCCTTATTAGATTATGAGTTCCATGAGAATAGAGTTTATGCCTTTTCTGTTTTGAATTCCAACTCTCAGCCTAGTCCTTGGATTTGGGTTTGGGTTGGGTAAATATTTGTTGACCTAGACTGAAAGAAAAATGACAAAACAATTGGTATTAGAAGTAAATAGTTTGAAAACAAACAGAAAACCAAAAGAAGAACTCATCTGTCTTTCTCATCTCTCCACTCCACCCTCTCCCCGACACCTTCTTAAATCTTTCTCCTTGCCAGGCCCTTCTTCTGGCTTGTGTCAGCTCCTGAGTCCCCTCTCTGCAGGTCCTCACCTTACCCTTTGCCTGGAGTGAAGCAGAGTTGGATGGCTTGCTGCTTGTGTGGCAAGTCTCCAGGACAAAATACTGTGCTTTGATAGCTCTGTGGTGTGAGATCATTCGTTACAAGCCACCTCTTCCCATAGTTCTGTTTAATGGGACGAGGAAAACAAGGCAGTAGCTCTGAAACTCTGTGGAGACACGGATGAGTAGTTGGAGAAAGGAGTGTTGTAGTTTCTGTGTCAGGTAGCATATACACACAGCTGAGTGAGCTCTCTTGGATGATGCTGGCAATAAGCCTGGGATCAACTGGAGAGTGGTATCATTGTACCTTCAGCCACAGATTTTGCCTGCTTCAGACCTGGGGATTCCTAACGCATCCTGAGCTGTAGCTTCAGCTGGGACTCAGTCTGTGGGAGATGAGCCCCAAACTACTCCTCCAGCTTGAACCTGTTCCTTTTTTTCTCTCTCCCTACTCTGTCTTTGCACCTGGGCAAGAGAAGGGATCTGACCAATAAGACCACTTACCATTCCTGAAAGAAGCATAATCTGTTTCATACCATTGGCCTTTGCCTCCGCTATTCCCCGATCCTGCACCCTTTGCACTTCTTGCAATCCTACACACTTTTCAGGAACCAGCTCAAATGTCAACTCTTCTTTGAAGACTTCTCTTTTATCTAAGTAGCATTGATAATGTTCTTCTCTGTGCTTCTAATATACCCTGGCCTTTTAGCTATCATAACATAAAAACACTAGTGAGTATTTTTGTTAAAATATCTTTTTCTTTTATCAGTCTGTGGGATCCTTACAGACAGGACAAAATTTAATCATCTTTTGCATTCTCAGTACCTAGTGGTTGGCATGTAGTAGTACACAATACTAGTTGTAAATTTATTAGAATTGACGGGGTAGATGCATTCACTGCCTGATAACTGGAGGAAGAATGCTTTAGTTTGGAGAACTGGCCGTTTTTGAGAATATATCTAGTATTTCTGATATCCAGAACTTTTCCCATTTTGGTTCACCCTGTCTAAAAAGCTGTCATTCCTTACTTTTTGAGGACTGATAAGCTCCTTGTGCATATGGATGGATAAATTCTTGCTCCCCCAAACACTAAAGCAACATCATTTACAGGCTCTGGGACTCAACAGATATGGGGTCAAGTTTCTGTTCTAACCTTACTAGAAGCATAGTCAGGTTATAATTTTTTGATCCAATTTGTTTATTGGTAAAATGCAGATATTAACTCCTCCTTCTTTCAACATGGCCAACTGACTGTGGGTTCTTTTATTTTAATAATTTTTATATGAAGTCTAGTCTATGATTTATGGCATTCCTGACCTCTCCAGAGCATTGTGGAGATTAAACGAGGTGACCTAGACCACTGATCAGAATGGCAGTGGGAGTTCATGCAGTGAACTTCCCTTTGCGCTAAACACAGCAATGATAGATGAGCTGTGCTCACAAACAAGAGGAACCTCTTGGGGAGCCCAGAGCATAACTGAAGCCTCTGTAGTGAGCTGAGCAGAAGTTGAACCCTACTGAGCTCTGCTTCTGGAAGCAGGCAGAGGCAGCTTGGAGTGTGACATCTGGAGGATCATGGGAACCAAATAGACCCCACAAGCCTGGGGTACAGGTCCTGAGCCAGCAGGGTGCATGAAACAAGGGTAAAGGCAGCGTCTTTGAATCTGAGCAAGACGGCTGAAAGAGATGCTGTAGACCCTGTCCTGAGGCTGTGGCTTATATAAAGCTGTATGTGCCATGGCTGAAGAAAGATTTAAAAAGTTCATTTAGGACTGGATTCAAACCCCTATTAACACAGTGCTAGGTCTGCTGGGTGATACTTGCAATATCACTCCAGGATGAAGGACCAGTGTAAAATCTGATTATAGACTGGATGATGCTGGGGCATATGGATGCAATGGCAAAGCTGCAAGATTTCAAGGGATGAGTATAGAGTCTAGATTGCAAGACAGAGCTAACAGCCTCTCAAGCTGAATCTGCAAAGGGAAGTAAGTTCCAGGCAGCCTGAGATGCACTAGGAGCTCACAAAATAATAATACTATTCCCCTTGTCTGCAGGAGGGCTATCCCTTTCTACTTTTTGTTATGTATATTTAAGTACTGGTCACATTTTTCTTTCAGTCAGTGTGCTCATTGAGTACAGTGGCTTTCTCTAAGTCTCCCTTCCTCCCTGCAGGGCTATGGGACCAGGCAAACAATAGGAGCTCAGCGACTGTTTATTTTTGGGAGAAATTTGTGTATGCCTAATGCTGTGAGTGGAATCATTGCAAAGAGCACAGTGGATGTGATCCATGACTGTGTAAAAGGGAGCTTTAAACACTTTCTTTCCATTTGACCATTTCTGAAGACTGAGTAGTTGCTCTAGGAGCTTTCCTTATTTCTTAGAGCTAATAACATGCTCTACCAACACAAACTCAAGGCCCAGGAATCCTTGTGGCCATGCATTTAGCTGCTACCCCAGAGCAGGGAAAATCTCAAGCAAACAACTGCCCTGTGCTCAAGACTCGTGTAACACATTTCATCTTTCTTTCTGGACAGTCCTATTGAGTGTTATTCTCCCCACTGTCTTTTTGGATCTTTTTTCCCCTAGTCTATTTCCCTTGCTTGGGCTGGGAAGCTCTGTGCTATATAGTATGAGAAAGTCAGTTTCCTTTGTTATTTTTTTTCTTCCAAGTGTTTGATTTTCATATTTTCTGTGAATTTGATATCATTTGGTAGCACTTTATCTATGCATACCCTGGGGCTGCAGTTTATCTTTAAATGAAACTAACTTTGCCTCTGAAATTCTCTCCACTATTTCTTGCTATTTTGATCCTTGTCTGTGAGCTCGTGTCTGTTCTTCAGCGTCTCTCTTTTTTACCTATGGTGCCCCATCCCTCTTCCTTTGTACTTAAGTGCTTGGATTTGCAGGGCAAGAGTCCTGGTCTTGCTAAGGCAGTCCTACTATTGTCACCCATCATCATGCCAATTCTCACCTATGTTTTAATATCATGAGCCAGCAGTTGCACAGTATTTATACCCAATACTTCGTTTTTACTCACACACCATTGAGCCCATCTGAACATGAATAAGACAGAATGCAGGCAAGTAAGGTAAGCAACAACAGAGTGGCTGCTTTTAACTCCATTCTAGACCTACGTGACCCCAATTCCATTCTTTCTCCATCCCACCATGATGACACCCTCCCTACAGCCACCTCCCACTGTGCCAAGCCTTCTCCACCTCACCCCATCACACACCATGCTTCTTTCTGGTATTTATTGTCTATCTAGCTTAGAATGTCAGTCATAGTTGTCTAAAAAGAGGGATCTGAGTCTTCTGCCTGGACTGACGTATGCATTCTTGGCTTAGTTGCCGGAAGTCTCATTCTGCCCTGAAAATCTTACTGAAATTTAAACCCTGGCCCTTTCTCCTCAGTCCATGTCCTATGTTTGAAAACTTTCCTTCTGTCTGTCCATAGCTCTGCTTCTTCCTGACCCTGTTCCCATCCTTTCTCCTTGCTTCCTTTCTGAACTCTGGTTATGAATGGGTCTGAAAGCACACAGATGTGACTTGCAGGGTCCACCACAGCACCTCTCAGCTGCTATTCTTACACTCTACCTTTGTTTAACTTGCATACAACAGCAACTTCAGGAGGCACAAGAGGATACAAAACGTCCTCTCATCCACTGCGCCCATCTCGGCACCTCCCATCTGCAGGTAATAGACCATCTTCCCTGTTCGTTCTAGATGTGGCCTGGTATGAGATTTTGGCCTGGGAAGTGAAATGTAAACATAAGCACCAGGTATTCCCTCACTGGAAATAACAGGGGAAGGAGAAAAGTAGAAAATAAATAGTGGATGGATACATACTGATATATTTAACAAAAATGTGCATAGTGGCTACAGTCTTCATTTCTGTGTCTGGTCATGGGCTGGAGTTTCTTCTTCTAAAACACATTTCAAGTTCTCTTTTACCCCGGCCAGCACCTTGTCTGGTTGGGATTCTTTATCTGGTGGGGTAATGTAAACCTGCCATTTAAATAAAAGTGTGAGCTCTCAGTAGACCTGTCTCTGCTGGATTGCTGTTGCCTTCTATTAACTTTTACTCCTAGATATGGGTGCTCCAGTCATGCCCCTAGGTTCCAGATATACACACTGACTATTCCAGACAGTTTACCTTCCATTTTATTTGGTAGAAGTATACCATTGCTCATATGTTAATTGGTATAAATAACTCCAGTTAGGAACACTACCCCATTCTCCACCTAGAAGTACAGTGGCCTGAAGAGCACAGGGTGTCCAGAAGACGACCTCAACTTCCAACTCAATGGAATTGTTGGTAAGCATCCTGTGGCAGCGTTTTTCCTTTGGAAATAAAGACCTCTGCACCTGGAAGATCTCAGGTCACTAGGTTGCAAGTCAAATGGATTGATAGGTAGTACCCCTTGGGTAGGTACTGGATCCATGTTGTGTGGGGATGGGAGAAGCAACAACATATTTTGGCTGCTGGTTCAGAGTGTATGTCACATCCTACAGGCAGCAGTCCTCACTTACAGGATGTTGGCACCTAAACTAAGTGTTCAGTCAGGCATTCTGCCATTCTATCAGACCAGCTGCTTCTGGGTGATAGAGTATGTTATTTGAGCAGATAATTTCATGGGCACGAGTTCATCGGCAAACTTATATTGCTGTAAAAAAAAAAAAGTCCTTGGTCAGAAATAATGCTACGAAGGGACCATATATGACACTGTAAAAGGCTGTATTGGAAGGAGCATTTCAAATGGGGAAGACAGATCCATATCCAGAATACATGTCTCTTCTTGTGAAGATAAAGCCTGTTCCCCTGCTCCCTTCATAATGGAAGGGATCTAATGAATTTGATAACTGATAGCGAAAGGTGCTGGATCAGGGGCCCAGCACTGGGTGGTGCTGTTGGCAGACTGGGTAGTCAGCAAGTGTAGAAGCCAGATCAGCTTTGGTGAAGGGAAATTCAAGTCGTTAGACCTGTGCTTACTTTCCGTCAGTGCACCATAGCCACTTTACTCATGGACCCATCAATCAAGTAAAAGGATAGCTAAGGAAAGAGGTTTGTTATCCATGCAGTGAACTATCTTGCCTATCGGATATGGGAAAGCCTCCTTTGCAGAGTATACCTTGCATTTAGGAAACAAGTATCCTCACTTGTCCTAACCAGTTGGCCAAATTATTAGCCACTGCCCTTGAATCAGTAGCGATTTACCCATTTAGCCACGTATCCTTAAGTGAAGGTAGATAAACAGATGCATCACTTGAAGTCTGACTCCTTCCCCACTGTCTTTCAGTGCTCTTTCTGCATGCAGCTATAACTGGAATAATTTGCTGCACACAAAGTACCCAGTTTGTGACGTTTACAAGGTCACTTGCTTTCCCTCACCAGGTACTCAGTCTGCATCAAGGCATAATAATGACTCAGAAAGTGACAACCATTGTTGTCAGAGGGACCCCCGTTCAACCCAGCAGAAGAATGATCCTACCTGGGCTGCTCTCTGCTGTTAAGATGAGGGCTGGAAGAAATTAAGCCTGGATTGCTTTCCTTTGTTGGGTGGGGTAGGGGGACTGAAGTTTTCCCTGCCAGTAGATTGCTCTTCCGGTTCTGGGTTCCCTCACCAGTATGCCTTTCTCTTTATATGCTTTAGAGTTCTTGTTGAGTGCTTCTTGCATTATTTTCAGCAGTTATAGTTATTCTTAGTGGAGAGAATCAAGGAGACACTGGCCTATGATATCTCATCTGGATAAGAAATACCAAAGAGAAGAAAATTTAAGAATAAAGATGTCTATTGTTTTGCACTGCTGCTGGGTTAAAACTTTTCTTAGTCTCCTTATTCTCATCTACAACCAACATTTGTAAAGCTCATCACACACTCAAACAGACACAACTGTCAGTGAAGTCTGTATCTAAGAATGAAGATGTGTGTAAGTTTGTGGTGTGCGTGTGCCTGTGTGTGTGTGTGAGAGAGAAGAGAGGAGAGAGAGTAAAATCTAAGTGATTGTTTTTCACAACACCATGCTGTGAAACTAGAAACAACATTTATAGAAAGAGTAAGTAATTGGCTGGGCACAGTAACTCACATCTGTAATCCCAGCACTTTGGGAAGCTGAGGTCACGGGCTTGAGACCAGCCTGGCCAACAAGGTGAAACGCTGTCTCTACTAAAAATACAAAAATTAGCCGGGTGTGGTGGAGCATCCCTGTAATCCCACCTACTTGGGAGGCTGAGGCACTAGAATCACTTGCATTTGGGAAGCAGAGGTTGCAGTGAGAGGAGATGGTGCCACTGCACTCCAGCCTGAGTGATAGAGTGAGATTCTGTCTCAAAAAAAAAAAAAAAAAAAAGAAAAGAGAGAGAAAGTAATGAAACTAGGTAAAGGCTGTCATGAAAGCCTTGGTCTCTTATGTATTTAAAAACAATCTCTGAGAAAGTTAATATTCCACAAAATATTGAATGAAGATTCTAGATGATCTTAACAAGGTATCAAAAGGCCAGGAAATGCCAATTGATGTGTGAGTTACATGTGCTTTTTCTTATCATGGGATCAGGACTTATGTTGATTCAAATTATAAAATTGCTAAAGTATTTGCAAATAAGTTGGAGATTTAGATAAAATGCCTCTAGACTTATTATAATCCCCTTTGTATAGTCTGTGTTTAGGTTGCAAGATGGACAGCTGATGTAGTGTCTCTTTGACGTCCTGAGCTGTCAAGAGAAAAAACCCATGCTCATTTGTCTATTCACAACCCATGCACGTCTGTGAATTTTGAGGTGGCACAAATGTTTCTGCCAGAATGGGTGTTCAACATTTGGTTGGTGACTGGTTCCATGGTCATGTTTGTGTTGTCAGGAGGAGCATGCAAAGATAGAATAGAAGAGACTCAAAATTCTTGTTTGGAGACCAACATATCTAATGGCCAGGTAAAGGCAAACACCTAGAAATGGAGACTAATACATAACAAAGAAGTAGCAAGAAAATGATATTTTGTTTATCATATTGTCCAAGGGAGAGGACGGTGGTAAGAAGGTCAACACCTTGCCTTTGTAGGCATCTGAGATGTGGGCACTCTGTTTGGCATTAGGGAGATCGGTTTTGGTGAGTGGTGGTAATGGAAGATAGATTGTATTGGTTGAGTAGTGATCATGAGATAAAGAAGTCTGAACTTTAAGAAAAGAAAGCATAGAAATGCTGAATGCTTGCTGAATTTTGCATTCTTCATAGTCCCCTGAGGAGGATCTGACACAAGACAGACATTTAATAACATTTCCATTTGCCCCCTCGGAGCCTGGATTTCTTGGGCTTCTCCAGGGAACTGCTCTGGGCACTACTCCTAGGAATGACTGTTGAGTTTCCTGCAGCTAGCCCTGGGACTGTGCCTCCTAATGGTGCTTGACAAGCAACATTGTGAGCTGTTGGTATTGAGCCATTAGCCCCAACTCTGCCGTGGCTGACCTCAGCCTGCTCACCAGTAAGGGCTTGCTGCTTACTATCCCAGAGAGACAAGGGAGGGCATTGCAACATACACTAGGTTGTGCTCAGATAATTTCACAGTGATGACAACTCATCCATTATAAGTGCAAATGTTAGAATAAAGGAAACACACTGTTAAATAGTTGTAGCTTTAAGAGATGGTTGTTGTCAATCATGGTCTCTCACTGGGCAAAGACATTTTTAATTAGCTGGTTTGGGAAAATAATCAAAGGAAGGACATTGCTTTTAAACTGATGAATTGGAGTTGAGTGATGTCCAAATTCTGTGATTTTCACCACCAGATCAGCACAACCCGCTATTTTCTATTCACTGTATTTTATTTTGAACCTTTCTCTCCTTGATTGGAGATGTTTCTTCAGCATGACTGACTACCACCCAATCGCACCATTCACTCTCTTCTCTCAGCTGTGAATAGACTGCAATTCCCCCGGATCTTTTCCTCTGACTCCACTCCCCTATATCCATTTGAATGTTTTAAGAGGATCTCTTTGAAATAAGAATTGTGCCAGAGTAAGCATTATGTGCCTTCTCTTTCAAAGGAAAAAAGTATACAATGCATTGAGCTTTCTACTATATGCTAAGCACGTCCACAAATACTATCTAATTTATTCTTTACCACAACTCACTGGAGTATGTTTAATAACCCCATTTTAGAGATAAAGAAGTTGAGTCTCAGATAAATAACTTACCTGCGATGACATATCCAATTTGTAATAAAACCATAATTTACAGACATGTCTGTCTTACTCAGTACATTGCAGTCCGTAACGCAAATTAAATCCATGGGACCACACAGCTCCCTGTGGCTATTGTTATTTCTTCTACCTAAAATGTTATTTCCTGTGTCTGGATTTTTCTGTTCATTTAGGCATAAACTTAAATATTATCTCCTTAGAGAGACTCTTGTGACCACTCCAGACCTCCGGTACGCCTATCACAATACGGCCATTATCATTAGTTGGCAGCTTATTATTTACTTTGGGTGTTTATTATCTGTCTTTTCCTCCTAGAATAAAAATTCTGTGATAATAGAACTCTTGTCTGTCCTAGTCAACATTATGTCCAGTCTCTATAGCAGTGTCTGGCATATCGTAGCCCCTCACACTTGCATGATGTTGAATGAATAAATAAATGAATTATGGATTAAATGAGTGACTGAATAAATGAATAGAAATTTCTCTATGCCATGGGCTATACCTTTTAACTATTGTTTTACCCTACAATATAAATTATAAACCAGTAGTTCTACAGAGGAATGAAACATTCCTTTCAAAGTGAACTGTGTTTAGTTGATTTAGAAGAACGTACACAGGTTCAGTAAATAAAAGTCAGTAGGAAACTATATGCACTGGTGGGGATTTAAGGCGACTTGGATTCTACTGCTAATTTATCAATGCCTGGCTATGTGATTCAAGGTAAGTAATTCTTTTGTGGAATCAAATTTTCCATTCATTATTGGTTTAAAAATCTAAATTTGTGTGTAAATATTTGCCTGTGTCATCTTCTGAGACTCAGTCCCAGTTAGCATGCAGAAACTTAAATACTTGAAAAGAGTTTTCTGAAAAGAATTCATTGCTTCTGATTTCAGAGCATGAAAAAGTGCTTATCAGTTTACATTCCCGGGTGTGTTGATAGGTTCATTTTCTATTGCTATTGTAATAAATTACCACAAGCGTAATGCCCTAACACAGCATGGATTTATTCTCTTACATTTCTGGAAGCCAAAAGTTCCAAATGAGTCTTACTGAGCTAAAACCAAGGTGCCAAACCAAGCTGTGCTCCTTCTGGAGGCTCTAGGGAAGAATCCCTGTCCTTATCTTTTCCAGCTTCTAGATGCCATTCACATTCCTTGGCTCAGGGTCTCTTCCTCTATTTTTCAAAGGCAGCTGACTAGCATCTTCGAATCTGTCTCTTACCCTGATACTCCTACCATCCTCTTGTAAAGATTCTCGTGATTGTATTAGTCCCACTCAGATCATGCAGAGTAACCTTCCCATCTCAATTTTCTTAACCTAATCACGTATCCAAAATTCCATTTGCTGTGTAAGGTATTCACAGGTTGGGGAATTAGGATGGGGGCAACTTTGAGGGTCCATTATTCTGCCTGCCACAATTGGTATGAAAACACAGAAGAATTAGGTGCCAAGCAAATAAATTAGCTTCTCAATTGACACTATTCATAAAGATTCGGCTGTGTCCCTGGCATTATTGTACATGTTGTGGATGTCCTGTGGCTCTGGAGATGGTCTGGAGTATTTCCAGCTTGAAATTTACATCTGTCCAAACCTCCTTACAATCTGCTTCACCAAATAGAATGACTAGATCTCCTTCCTGGCGCAGCAATCAACATTGCTCCTTCTTGGCCTTTTCTCTCCTTTTTACCATGTTTTGATTCCTCTCTTCTAGTGATATACCAGTGCTGCCTCAGAAACTAATATTTTGGAAGAGATGGGAGGATCTTAGAATCAAACATATTAATATCATTTATCAATTTTAATTTTTATCAAGGCTCTGTCAACTTAGAGCCATTTGCTATTTTTTACAGAAACATGTAGAAATTATTATCTCTTTTTTTGTCTTTCCACAAAACTAGGCATATCTTTACCTCCTTTGTAGACTCAATGTTCTCAATATTGTTATTGGAATTTTAAAGCCGTCGTCCTTGATTCTTTTCTTTTCTCACTTGATGCTGTCTCCTTAAGTAACAAAATCTATTCCCAGTACTTAAATTCAGATGCAGAAGACTACCAAATATGTCTTCAGCTCTGATCAAGTTCTGATGCCATATACCTAAAGAACTAATTTTAGGAGTGGGGGAAGGCACTATAAATTGTATTTCACTGGCACAATTGGCATAAACTTTACTGTCTGAAATAAACCTAAACATGTGGCCACTTAAGTATGACCAATCTCCTATTTCCTGTTTCATTTTTTCCCTTGGGCATCTCTTAGATACCTCAGACTCAGTATCTCCAAGTTGAAACTTACAGTCTTCCCTTCCAATAGTAGTCTCTCCCAGTGTTCCTTACCTTAGAGTAAGCATAAGCATTCAGTTGCATAAAGAAAAAAATGTAGGGAGCCAGTTCCAAGATGGCTGAATAGGAACAGCAGTCTGCAGCTCCCAGCATGGTCAACACAGAAGATGGGTGATTTCTGCATTTCCAAATGAGGTACCTGGTTCATCTCATTGGGACTGGTTGGACAGTGGGTGCAGCCCATGGAGGGCAAGCCAAAGCAGGGCAGGGCATCGCCTCACCCGGGAAGTGCAAGGGATCTGGGGATTTCCCTTTCTGAGCCAAGGGAAGTCGTGACATACTGTAGCTGGAAAATCGGGACACTGCCAACCAAATACTGTGCTTTTCCAATGGTCTTAGCAAACGGCACACCAGGAGATTATATCCTGCACCTGGCTCGGCAGGTCCCCAGCCCATGGAGCCTTGTTGACTGCTAGCGCAGCAGGCCAAGATTGAGCTGTGAGGCGGCAGCCTGGCTGGGGGAGGGGCGTCTGCCATTGCTGAGGCTTGAGTAGGTAAACAAAGTGGCCTGGAAGCTCTAACTGGGTGGAGCTCACCGCAGCTCAGTGAGGCCTGCCTGCCTCTGTAGACTCCATCTCTGGGGGCAGGGCATAGCTGAACAAAAGGCAGCAGAAACTTCTGCAGACTTAAACGTCCCTGTCTGACAGCTCTGAAGAGAGCAGTGGTTCTCCCAGAATGGTGTTTGAGCTCTGAGAACAGATAGACTGCCTCCTCAAGTGGGTCCCAGACCCCCGTGTAGCCTAACTGGGAGACACCTCCAAGTAGGAGCTGACTGACATCTCATACAGTTGGGTGCCCCTCTGAGATGAAGCTTCCAGAGGAAGGATCAGGCAGCAATATTTGCTGTTCTGTAATATTTGCTGTTCTGCACCCTCTGCTGGTGATACCCAGGCAACAGGGTCTGGAGTAGAGCTCCAGCAAACTTGAACAGACCTGCAACTGAGGGACCAGACTGTTAGAAGGAAGACTAACAAACAGAAAGGAATAACATCAAGATCAGCAAAAAGGACATCCACACCAAAATCCTACCTGTAGGTCACCATCATCAAAGACCAAAGGCAGATAAAATCACAAAGATGGGGAGAAACCAGAGCAGAAAAGCTGAAAATTCCAAAAACCAGAGCATCTCTTCTCCTCCAAAGGATCACAGCTCCTCGCCAGCAATGGAGCAAAGCTGTACGGAGAATGACTTTGACGAGTTGACAGAGGTAGGCTTCAGAAGGTCAGTAATAACAAACTTCTCTGAGCTAAAGGAGGGTGTTTGAACTCATCACAAGGAAGCTAAAAACCTTGAAAAAATATTAGACAAATGGCTAACTAGAATAAACAGTGTAGAGAAGACCTTAAATGACCTCATGGAGCTGAAAACCATGGTATAAGAACTACATGATGCATGCATAAACTTCAGTAGCCGATTTGATCAAGTGGCAGAAAGGGTATCAGTGACTGAAGATCAAATGAATGAAATGAAGCAAGAAGTTTAGAGAAAAAAGAGTAAAAAGAAAGGGACAAAGCCTCCAAGAAATATGGGACTATGTGAAAAGACCAAATCTATGTTTGATTGGTGTACCTGAAAGTGACAGAGAGAATGGAACCAAGCTGGAAAACACTCTTCAGGATATTATCCAGGAAAACTTCCCCAACCTAGCAAGGCAGGCCAACATTCAAATTCAGAAAATACAGGGAACACCACAAAGATACTCCTCGAGAAGAGCAACCGCAAGACACACAATTGTCAGATTCACCAAGGCTGAAATGAAGGAAAAACTGTTAAGGGCAGCCAGAGAGAAAGGTCGGGTTACCAACAAAGGGAAGCCCATCAGACTAACAGTGGATCTCTCAGCAGAAACCCTACAAACAAGAAGTGGGGGGCAATATTCAACATTCTTAAAGAAAAGAATTTTCAACCCAGAATTTCATATCCAGCCAAACTAAGCGTCATAAGTGAAGGAGAAATAAAATCCTTTACAGACAAGCAAATGCTGAGAGATTTTGTCACCACCAAGCCTGCTTTACAAGAGCTCCTGAAGGAAGCACTAAACATGGAAAGGAACAACTGGTAGCAGCCATTGCAAAAACATGCCAAATTGTAAAGACCATCGATGCTAGGAAGAAACTGCATCAACTAATGGGCAAAATAACCAGCTAACATCATAATGACAGGATCAAATTCACACATAACAATATTAATCTTAAACGTAAATGGGCTAAATGCACTAATTAAAAGACACAGACTGGCAAATTGGATAAAGAGTCAAGAACAAACAGTGTGCTGTATTCAGGAGACCCATCTCATGTGCAGAGACACACATAGGCTCAAAATAAAGCAAATGGAAAGCAAAATGGAAAAGCAAAAAAAAAAAAAAAAAAAAAAGCAGGGGTTGCAATCCTAGTCTCTGATAAACAGACTTTAAACCAACAAAGATCAAAAGAGACAAAGAAGGCCATTGCATAATGGTAAAGGGATCAATTCAACAAGAAGGGCTAACTATCCTAAATATATATGCACCCAATACAGGAGCACCCAGATTCATAAAGCAAGTCCTTAGAGACCTAGAAAGAGACTTAGACTCCCACACAATAATAATGGGAGACTTTAACACCCCACTGTCAATATTAGACAGATCAATGAGACAGAAGGGTAACAAGGATATCCAGGACTTGAAATCAGCTCTGCACCAAGCAGACCTAATAGACATCTACAGAACTCTCCACTCCAAATCAACAGAATATACATTCTTCTCAGCACCACATTGCACTTATTCCAAAATTGACCACATAGTTGGAAGTAAAGCACGCCTCAGCAAATGTAAAAGAACAGAAATCACAACAAACTGTCTCTCAGACCACAGTGCAATCAAATTAGAACTCAGGATTAAGCAACTTAGACGCAAAACCACACAACTACATGGAAACTGAACAACCTGCTCCTGAACGACTAGTGGGTAAGTAATGAAATGAAGGCAGAAATAAAGATATTCTTTGAAACCAATGAGAACAAAGGCACAATGTATCAGAATCTCTGGGACACATTTAAAGCAGTGTGTAGAGGGAAATTTATAGCACTAAATGCCCACAAGAGAAAGCAGGAAAGATCTAAAATCGATACCCTAACTTCACAATTAAAAGGCCTAGAGAAGCAAGAGCAAACAAATTCAAAAGCTAGCAGAAGACAAGAAATAACTAAGATCAGAGCAGAACTGAAGGAGAGAGAGACACAAAAAAACCCTTCAAAAAATCAATGAATCCAGGAGCTGGTTTTTTGAAAAAATCAACAAAACTGATAGACGACTAGCAAGACTAATAAAGAAGAAAAGAGAAGAATCAAATAGACACAATAAAAAATGATAAAGGGGATATCACCACTGATCCCTCAGAAATACAAACTACCATCAGAGAATACTATAAACACCTCTACACAAATAAACTAGAAATTCTAGAAGAAATGGCTAAATTCCTGGACACATACACCCTCCCAAGACTAAACCAGGAAGAAGTTGAATCCCTGAATAGACCAATAACAGGCTCTGAAATTGAGGCAATAATTAATAGCTTACAAACCAAAAAAAGTCCAGGACCAGATGGATTCACAGCCGAATTCTTCCAGAGGTACAAAGAAGAGCTGGTACCATTCCTTCTGAAACAATTCCAATCAATAGACAAAGAGGGAATCCTCCCTCACTCATTTTTTGAGGCCAACATCATCCTGATACCAAAGCCTGGTAGAGACACAACAAAAAAAGAGAATTTTAGACCAATATCTCTGACGAACATCTATGCAAAAATCCTCAATAAAATGCTGACAAACCAAATCCAGCAGCACATCAAAAAGCTTATCCACCATGATCAAGTTGGTTTCATCCCTGGGATGCAAGGCTGGTTCAACATATGCAAATCAATAAACGTAATCCATCACATAAAAAGCCAAAGATAAAAACCACATAATTATCTCAATAGATGCAGAAAACGCCTTCAACAAAATTCAACAGCACTTCATGCTAAAAACTCTCGATAAATTAGGTATTGATGGAATGTATCTCAAAATAATAAGAGCTATTTATGACGAACTCACAGCCAATATCATACTGAATGGGCAGAAACTGGAAGCATTCCCTTTGAAAACTGGCACAAGACAGGGATGCCCTCTCTCACCATCCTATTCAACATAGTGTTGGAAGTTCTGGCCAGGTCAATCAGGCAAGAGAAAGAAATAAAGGGTATTCAATTAGGAAAAGAGGAAGTCAAATTGTCCCTGTTTGAAGATGACATGATTGTATATTTAGAAAACCCCATGGCCTCAGCCCAAAGTCTCCTTAAGCTGATAAGCAACTTCAGCAAAATCTCAGGACACAAAATCAATCTGCGAAAATCACAAGAATTCCTATACACAAATAGCAGACAAACAAGGGCCAAATCATGAGTGAACTCCCATTCACAATTGCTACAAGGAGAATAAAATACCTAGGAATCCAACTTACAAGGGATGTGAAGGACCACTTCAAGGAGAGCTATAAACCACTGATCAATGAAATAAAAGAGAACACAAACAAATGGAAGAACGTTCCATGCTCATGGATAGGAAGAATCAACATTGTTAAAATGGCCATACTGTCAAAGGTAATTGATAGATTTAATGCCATCCCCATCAAGCTACCAATGACTTTCTTCAGAGAATCGGAAAAAAAAAACTACTTTAAAGTTTATATGGAACCAAAAAAGAGCCTGCATTACCAAGACAATCCTAAGGGAAAAGAACAAAGCTGGAGGCATCACGCTACCTGACTTCAGACTATACTACAAGGCTACAGTCACCAAAACAGCATGGTACTGGTACCAAAACAGAGATATAGACCAATGGAATAGAACAGAGGCCTCAGAAATAACACCACACATCTACAACCATCTGATCTTTGACAAACCTGACAAAAACAAGAAATGGGGAAAAGATTCCCTATTTAATAAATGGTGCTGGGAAAACTGGCTAGCTATATGTAGAAAGCTGAAACTGGATCCCTTCCTTACACCTTATACAAAAATTAATTCAAGATGGATTAGAGACTTAAACGTTAAACTTAAAACCATAAAAACCCTAGAAGAAAACCTAGGCAATACCATTCAGGACATAGGTATGGGCAAGGACATCATGACTAAAACACCAAAAGCAATGGCAACAAAAGTCAAAGTAGACAAATAGGGTCTAAATAAACTAAAGAGCTTCTGCACAGCAAAAGACATTACTGTCAGAGTGAACATGCAACCTACAGAATGGGAGAAAATTTTTGCAATCTACCCATCTGACAAAGGGCTAATATCCAGAATCTACAATAAACTTAAACAAATTTACAAGAAAAAATCAAACAACCCCATCAAAAAGTGGGCAAAGGATATGAAGAGACACTTCTCAAAAAAAGAAATGTATGCAACCAACAAACACATGAAGAAATCCTCATCATCACTGGTCATCTGAGAAATGCAAATCAAAACCACAATGAGATACCATCTCACACCAGTTAGAATGGTGATCATTAAAAAGTCAGGAAACAACAGATGCTGGAGAGGATGTGGAGAAATAGGAACAATTTTACACTGTTGGTGGGAGTGTGAACTAGTTCAACCATTGTGGAAGACAGTGCGGCGATTCCTCAAGGGTCTAGAACTAAAAATACCATTTGACCCAGCAATCCCATTACTGGGTATATACACAAAGGATTATAAATCATGCTACTATAAAGACACATGAACACGTATGTTTATTGTGGCACTATTCACAATAGCAAAGACTTGGAACCAACCTAAATGTCCATCAGTGATAGACTGGATTAAGAAAATGTGGCACATATACACCATGGAATACTATGCAGCCATAAAAAGGATGAGTTCATGTCCTTTGTAGGGACATGGATGAAGCTAGAAACCATCATTCTGAGCAAACTATCGCAAGGAGAGAAAACCAAACACCGCATGTTCTCACTCATAGGTGGGAATTGAACAATGAGAACACTTGGACACATGGTGGGGAACATCACACACTGGAGCCTGTCGTAGGGTGAGTGAATGGGGGAGGGATAGCATTAGGAGATACCTAATGTAAATGATGAGTTAATGGGTACAGCACCCCAGCATGGCACATGTATACATATGTAACAAACCTGCACGTTGTGCACATGTACCCTAAAACTTAAAGTATAATAAAAAGAAAAAAAGAAAAAATGTAACTGTCATTCTTTAACAACCAGTTTCTCCCTCACACCAAAGGTTCTCTCCATCTTAACTATCATAAACCTAGGTTACGTGGACAGCAATTCTTATGTGGACTGGCTTTCATACATTCATGCTTGCTTTCCTCTGAAACATTCTCCACACATCAGCCAGAATAATCTTTTCAAAATGTAAAAAGATCATGTCAAACCCTCTGCAATTTTACTGCCTTCAAAATTTTCCTCCTTATTACAATAAGACTCAACGTTTTAAAAGGACTTTTAACCATTTGTTGGTTTTTTCATTTAACAGTTATCTGTTGAGAGCTTTCTCTGTATGAAGCATTATTCAAGCCAATGGAGGTACAGAAAACAGCAAATAAAATGCAATTCTTTTGTTAAGAAGCTATTTCTACTGGGAGAAACAAGCAAAATCAAAGAAAAAGACATATAAAATAATTTCAAGGTATATTGACAATAATGGGAGCCAATGAGATAATGAGATGATTAAAAAACCCAAGTGGACAAGAAGGTCCATTCTGAGGGCTTTCTTTTAAAGAAGAAAAATAATGCTGTTGCGTGACAGAGGCAAGAGAAGTCCATGTATACAGAATAGTGTGTGCAAATATCCTGTGTTGGAAAAGACTATGGAAACTTGAAAAAGGTAATGTAGTAGAATATAGTATTACAGGAGAACAACACAAAACAAGGTAGAAGACAAAATGTCAGATCATGTAGAGCTTTGCAGGCCACAGTATAAGGCCTTGAAAAGCTTGAGGGAAAGAGGGACATCATGAAGTATTTCTAAGTTTATGGTTTGAGTAAGTGGAGAAATGGTAGTGCTATTTATTGAAAGAAGGAAATCTGGAGGAAGTTTAAGAAAGTTAAGAGTTTAAGAAAGATAATCAGGACATCTGTTTCAGATATGTGATATTTTGAAAGCTCACTAGGCCATCAAGTGGAGCTATTGAGTGAGCAATTGGATGGATGAGTGTGGAGTTCAAGAGAATGGTCAGATCTGGAGATATTCAGTTAGAGATTGACATTTCATCATGCCAGAAGTTCAATTATCAATTCTAATGTGTATGCTCCTACTATTAGAGCTTTGAATTTAATGCAAAGACTGACGGAAGTAAAGAGAGAAATAGGATAACCCAAACCATATTCAAAATTTCAACTTTCATCTCTCAGTAACTGATAAAACAAGCAGGCAAAATAATCAGTAAGGATAAAAAAGATTTAAACAAAATAATCAGCACATGTGACAGAATATGCAACATATAGAACACTGCACCCAACAAATACAGAATAAACATTATTTTCAAGTACACATGGAACATTTACCAACATTGACCACATGCTGGGCCATAAAGGAAATCTCAATAAATTTCAAAGGAGTGACATTCTACAGAGTAGGCTCATTGACCACAGTGATATTAAGCCAGAACTCAATAACAGAAAAATAACTAAGATGTTCCCATTTGTCTAAAAATTAAGAAGCATGGTTTTGAATGTATGCTTCTACATAGAGATCAAATATAATTAGAAATTATTTGAGCTGAATGATAATTAAACTGTCATATATCAAACTTTTGGACTATAAGCAACACATAATTAAAGATAAATGTAAAATATAAAATGCAAATATCATAAAAGAATAAAAGCTGAAAAACTGGTGACCTAAGCATCCATGTCAGAAAGAAAGAAAGAAAGAGTAAAACAAGTGAAACTCACATAAAGCTTAGAGAAGGAAATGATAAAGAGACAAGTGAAAATAAGTAAATTGAAATACACGCAGGGAAGGGATTAAAAAGTTAAAAGTTTTTTTTTGAAAAGATTAACAAAATTGTTAAGACTCTGACAACAAAACAGAAGACTCGAAGGTTTGCTTTTAATAACGAAAAGAAGTGTTGATATAAATGCCAAAACACTAGATAATAAGAATATGTGATGACTTGTTATTATAACAAATTTTAAAATGTAGACTAAATTGTAAAATATCTAGAAAAAGAAAATGCTAAAGTTGATGAAAGAAAAACAATCAAGAGTCCTCTAAATGTTAAGACAGATGAGTCCTGCAATTTAAAACCTTCCAACAAAGAAAAGTTAATACTTACATGGAATGTCCTTAGAAAATTCTAGTAATATTTAGGCAAAAATAATAACAATGGTTAAAAGCTTTCTTTCTGTTATTTAGAATAAGATTTTTCCAAAAGAGACACAAGGATTACTACTGTGTTTGTTATCTGTGTCCAGAATAACCTTAATATTCCAATTTGACATGTACCTTAGGTTAATGAAAAATAAAGTACAATCTCATTCTTGAAGAAGAAAGATCCAAAAGGCCTATATTTCTGCAATATATAGCTATATTTCTGCAAATATAGCTCATAACATATATGAAAAGTATGAATCTTCACGCCCATGTTGGGTTAATTCCAGGTGGTTTAAATATTAAAAAATCAAATAATGTGATTTACCATGCTAACAGACTAAGAAATATTCTACGATCATTTCAACAGATGCAAAAATGTTGATAAAATTTAACATTTATTCATCTTTGATGTCTTAGCAAAATAGGAATAAAACAGAATCACCTTGATCTGAAAAAGAATATTTATAAAGAATTCTGTCCCAAATATCATACATAATGCATTATGGTATTATTATAAAGGCATACATATAGACCAAAGAAATGATAAACAGCCCAGATTTATTCCTACTTATAAATTGTCAGTTTCTTTAAACAAAAGAAGAATTATAGAACAGTAGGAAAAGAAAACATTTTTTAATAAAGGGTGCTGGGTCAACCGAATATGCAAATGAACAAAAACGAAATTGTA
Source organism: Homo sapiens (assembly GCF_000001405.40). Lineage (NCBI taxonomy): Eukaryota > Metazoa > Chordata > Mammalia > Primates > Hominidae > Homo > Homo sapiens. Next base: position 85,496,210 of record NC_000010.11, on the reverse strand, counting down.
CTTAGCACAAAAATAAATTTCAGGGGAGCTGCAAATCTACATATGAATTGTAAAATGGTAAGCCTTCTAGAAGATAATATATACAAATACGCTCATAACCTTGGTGTCAAAAAACCTATTTAAAATAAGACATACATATTTAGTAAAAAGGAAAATGTTGTAAAATGGCATTATATTATAATTAAACACTGTTATTTACAAAAGGCAATATTAAGAAACAAAAATAGTGAGCTACAGTGTGGGAGAATATATTTGCAGCCCATCTAACCACTGCTGAGCTCATATACAGAATGTAAAACTACTCTTAGCAAATTCATTAAAAAAAGACTGTCGAATAGAAAAATGTACAAGAGATCTGAACAAGCACGTTACCAAAGTATGTGTCCAATTGGCAAATAAATTTATTTTTAGAAGTTTAGATAGTAATCAAAGAAATGCAAATTTAAATAACAGGCAATACAACATTTCACCACCAGAATGACTAACAGAAAAAAGAGTAATGATTCTAAGTCCTGACAAATATAATGTGGAACAACAGGCACTCTTCAAACACTCTCAGTAGATATGTAAGTAGGTATAAATATTTTGAAAAACATTTTTTATTATCTATGAAAGTTGAATGTATGTAAAGTCTGTGATCCCTCACTTTCACACCTACATACATCCAAAATGAATGTCTACAGATATGTACTAACAGATGTGTGCAAGGGTGTTCATTACAGCATTATTTATAAGAACCCTAAATTGGAAATAATCCAACGTTTTTCAGAAATAGAATGGAGAGAGAGGCATGTTCATATAATGCAAGACTTTTCATCAGTAAAAATGTATAAATTACAGCTTTGTGCAATAACATGGATAACTCCCACAAACATGATGCTGATAGAAAGACGCTAAATACAAATAATTTCCTACCATATGGTTACGTTTATGCAAATTTAAAACATCAGGCAATACCAGGTAAGCTAAACTATAGCATTTAAGAATGCATGCATAGGTGGTAAAAACTACAAAGCAAAGTAAGAAAGTGCACAAGTAAAATTAAGAATAGTGATTAATTTTGAAGTGGAGAGAACTGGGAAGGGCAGAGGGAGGGCTTCTGAGAGCTGACACTGTTCTATTGTTCTATTTTCGTCCTGGGTGACAATTAATTGGTTGTTGCCTTTTTCTAAATGTGTGTAATATTTCCCAATTTTAAAAACGCGCGCGCGTGTGTGTGTGACAGAGACAGACATACAGAGAGAGAGAGAAAGAAAGAGAATGGGACATGAGAAACTGCTTATGAAGACAAATTTATAATGAATTTTATTTATAAAAAGAAAGAGAAGCCAGGTACAGTGCCTCACACCTGTAATCCTAGCACTTTGGGAGGCCAAGGTGGGAGGATTATTGAGCCCAGGAGTTCAAGACCAGCCTGCACAACATGGCAAAACCCCATCTCTATAAAAAAGTACAAAAATTAGTTGGGTGTGGTGGCATGCACCAGTGGTCTCTGTTACTTGGGAGACTGAGGTTGGAGGATAACCTGAGCCCAGAGAGGTCAAGGCTACAGTGGGCCAAGATCGGGCCACTGCACTCCAGCCTGGGTGATGGAGCAAGACCCAGTCTCAAAACAAGAAAGAAAGCAAGAAAACAAGGAAGAAATCAAGAAAGCAAGGAAGCAAGAAAAGAAAGAAAGAGAAAGAAAGGAAAGAAAGAGGAAGGAAGGAAGGAAGGAAGGGGAGCAACTGTATGGCAGATGTTAAGGAAATAAAAGCATTAATGGAAATTTTTCTTCTTTCTTTTAGATAGGAGATATTAGAGTATGTTTATATACTAATGGTAATTCTGCAAAAGAGAAAGGGATATCAATGAGGCTGAACCCAGAAAAAACTAAAAATGTTGAAATATTTGAAGATGGTGGGCGTGAGCTGCAGGCCATGAATGGAGTGATTGGCCTTTAAAAAAATCAGCTCTCCAGAGAAAGGATGCTTGAAGTAGGTCCAGATGAGCATAAGTATGAGAAGCTTTTCAGGTATGAGTATTAGAAGCTATCTCTGTCCTCTGTGAGTTATGGGTGTCAGCACGTTGTCAGGCTCATCTCAGCCTCCAGAGCCTTCTTTCTGTTCACATAGTGGACCACTGTTCATCCTACTGGAGCACCTCTGCCCATGCTGTCTGCTGCATAAAATGATTATACTCTCAGCCTCCCTCACGTGGCTAATACTATATATCCTGTAAATCTCAGTGGAATTGCCAAGTATGCAGGAAAGCACACTCTGACTCCCCAGGGCACATTCTCAGCTCTGAGGGCAACTTTCCCTCACAGCACATATCCACATTGTAATTGCATATTCATTTTATTTAGGCTGTCCTCCCACAAGACAGTTTGTGCTATGTATTCTGGGAGTATTTCTTCTTTGAACCAACCTCTGGCATAGTGCCTAGCGTCTTGTAGGTGCCATTTTTTGAATGCATGAATACATGAATAAGTGAAGGTCGTGCAGGAGTATTCTTAGAAATATTATTTGATAAATCAGAATTTGTTGGCAAGAAATGTTATTTGCAATAATGCTTCCGCTTACTGATCAAATGCTCTAATATATTTAACCCGATAAATCATAGATTCATTTAGACAGCCATTCAGTAATAAACATGTATTTAGTAACAATGTTATGCCAGGTACTGAGAAAGGCAGTGCCACGGGACAGGGAAGGGTCACAGAAGCAATTCAGGTTTATGTGAGTAGAAGAGTTGTGGAAACAGACTCTTGCACTGGAGTTGTAGAGTTTACACTTACATTCTAACTCTTTTGTTTACAAATTTATTGGCATTGGTCAAGCCTCCCAAATTCTGTAAGCTGTTATCTCCTTATTAAAAAAATGAGACTCAACCTTAATCCCTTACAATATTGCTGTGAAGACTGCATATGGTGACCTTTGTGAAGACTTGTAGGGTGCCTGGTGCAAAACTCTGTTCTGCCCTTGGTTAATATCTAAGGGAGAAGTAAGGCAGGGAGCTTGGGTCCTAAGTATACACTGATTCTGCACATGAATGAAGCTGGGGAACTGTTGCTAAAAGAGGTCTTGAGTTGATTCTCAGATCATTAGATGAATGCAGTGTCACAGCTGGAAGGAACTTAAAATTCATGTTGTCAGAATACCTTCTATATAGGTGAGGCCTCTAGGGCTCTGAGAGGGGAAGGGCTTCTGCAGGTCCAGGGCTTCATCTCAGAGCAGAGGGCCAGCTGTATCTTAGAGACGGCACACTTCTTCTTCCCTTGCCAGTGGGGATTCTCAGCTGGGGTGCTAACAGGCAAGCTATTTTGAGCCAGGAGTTGTATAAAGAAAGGCTCACAGCAGTGCCCAACCTTGGTCTTGCCATTGTGTTGGCATCCTGTGATGCCTCCCTCCTTACAAGGCACTTTGTGTCAGCAGGAATGTGAGGCAAGTTGTGAAATTCAATTAATTCTACAGCCAGCCCACGTACCTCCCTCCAGGGCTGGCCCAGCCGGGATGATGCAGCACTACCCTCTCTAAAAAATAGGCTTCCTGACCCGTCTCCTTCCCTTCCAGCAGCCCCTCCTCAGGTCCTCCCCTGCTTTCTCTCCATGTCTTCACAGAAGACAAAGCTCATCTCTATGGGGATGTGTTTCTATATTAAAATACTGTTGCATAGCTAATTTTTATTTGGAATCTCTGGAAGCTTAAATTATAGAATTGCTTTTGTTGAAGTTGGGAGGGAGTGACAAAGATACTCCGCCTTCTCTCTTGAGTACTAATGGGTAAAAACAAAAAGCACAGATACCTATCTGACTAATATGTTTCCAGGATGTGCCTGTAATCTTGAAATACAGGAGTTCTAGGTAACTGAAACCAAGATAGGGCCAACAGTTCTCTCTCCTATGAAGGGGGGTGCGAGGGGCAGAGACTTGCCCTGGTTTTAGTGCATGGATTGAGAAAGCAAAGAGTCCAACATCCTTGTAAGAGGCCTAGATATCAGGAAGTGAGAGAAGGAGAAATCTGATTCCATTTTTGAGGCAAATTAAGTGCTCATTCAAACCTAGTGAGTATCCTGGACTCTAAGTATGGAAAGAGAAAATTTGTAAGAGTGCAGAGACAAGCTGAAATTTTTCACTACAATGTTTTCTCCTCCTGAGTAGTAAAATAAAATCCTTTTTCCATGGACAAAGTGAACACACAGAAATACTGGATCTCCCCTGACACTGTCTAAAATATTTAAACTGATTTTATTAAATTTGAGAGTTAAGATCAACCAGGATTACAGTTGTCCTTTTAGAGGCTGAAAATCAATGACCTTCTGGAGCAATCCCGTCCGTTCCTTCATGAAGCCGCTCCTCATTAGAGGTGGAAAGCTCAGATATGAATCTCTCACCTCCAGGAAACTCTGAAATGGGTTAGACAGGGCCATTAATTAAATTTAATTTTAAGGTCAAATTTTCCCCTTATCAGACGGTTTATCCACGATTCTGTTTTCATTCCACATTAAGTCTATCCATATTGTTCAACAGAAAACACTGGGAAAAGTGGTATAATGAACACTGTGTGATACTAGCATTTCTGAAGCTGAGTTATCCATCTTTAGACCCTTATTTGCCCCATATTTGTGATGATCCCACAAAATCACATAAAAATCAGCGTTTGTATAACAAAAAGTGTAGAAAACACAAGAAAATCTCTAGTTTTTGATAAAAATGTTGCTTCTGGAACACAGTGCAGGTATAATCTAGATTTACATTGCTAATATCAATCAAACATCATAGTGGAGATTTCCTGCTATCTAGAGGCTCATAGAAGAGAAAAATACAAAAAAAAAAAAAAAAAAAAGATAGACTGTTCTTGGTGTTAGCACCAAAACATCAATTTATCTAGTGAGCGGATTCCAGATGTATGTGGACTATGATTTATAAACTTTCCTGCAATGGGAAAAATTTCCCAGAGTTTAATTGTGTCTTAGTTTGTTCTTCTTTTTCTACCTCTTTGAAATGGAAACTTAGTTGTTTATTTGAGATATTTTTACTCTATTAATGTAAGTGTTTATTGCTGTGAACGTCCCTCATAGTACTACTTTTGTCATATCCCATAAATTTTGATATATTGTGTTTCATTTTGATTTGTGTTGCTGTATTTTCAAATTTATTTTTTATTTCTTTCTTAACCCAATAGTTGTTCAAAAGTATACTGTCTAATTTTTACTTATTTGTGAATTTTCTAGTTTGTCTACTGTTATTGATTTCTAGTTTTATTCCATTGTGGTCAGAAAAGATACTTGATATAATTTAAATCTTCTTAAGTTAGTTAAGACTTGTTTTGTGTCTTAACACATGATCTATCCTGGAGAAAGGTCTATGTGCACCTGAGAACGATGTGTATTCTGCCACTGTTGGGTGGAATGTTCTGTATATGCCTGTTAGGTCCATTTGGTCTATAGAGTTATTCAAATCCTCTGTTTCCTTGTTGATCTTCTGTCTGGAATTTCTGTTCATTATTGAAAGTGGGGTTTTGAAGCCTCCTATTATTATATTGCTGCCTATTTCTCCTTTCAGTTCTGTCAATGTTTGCTTTACATACTTGGGTGCTCTGATGTTGGATGCATATATATTTATAATTGCCATGTTTTCCTGGTAAATTGACCCTACTATTATTATACAATGTTCTTCTTTGTCTCTTGTGACAGTTTCAAAGGTCTCTTTTGTCTGACATATGAATAGCCACCATTGTTCTTTTTGGTTATCATTCAAATGAAATATCTTTTTTTCATCTCTTCACTTTCAGCCTATATGCATCTTCAAATCAAAAGTGAATTTCTTGTAGGGCCTTGTTTGTTTGTTTCTTATCCATTCAGTCTGTCTTTTGATTGAGGAGTTTAATTCATTTACATTTAAAATAATTATTGATAAAAAATAATTTACTTTTGCCATTTTGTATGTTTTTGATTTTGCATAGAGTATTTTTTCAGGTTTATTGAGGGAAGATGGACAAAAATTATATATATTTAAGGTATAAAACATATTTTGATATATGTACATTGTGAAATAACTATCACAGTCAAGGTAATTAACATATCCATCATGTCACATAGTTACCATATTTATTTTTTCTGCTGATAATATCTGAGATCTCTACTCTTAGCAAAGCTCAAGTATATGATACATTATTGTTAGCTATAGTCACCATGCTATACATTAGATATCCAATACTTATTCATCTTATAAAAGAAAGTTTGTATCTTTTGACCAAAGGGTCAAAATCAATGGTGGCTATTCTTATACCCCCTTTTTTTCCTTCCTCCAACCTCTTTTTCTGTTCTTGATAAGAGCAATTCTAACAGGTGGGGTGATATCGCATTGTGATTTTAATTTAGATTTTCCTGATGATTAATGATGTTGAGCATCTTTTCATACACCTATTGGCCATTTGTAAGTTTCCTTTGGAAAAAAAAAGGTCTATTAAGGTTCATTAATTGTTCTTTAATCCAGTTTTATACATTTATAGATACGGAGATGTATGAGTACCTTATATATTTTGGATATTAAGCCCTTATCAAATATGGTTTACAAATATGTTATCTCATTCCAAGGGTTGGCTGTTCATTTTGTTAGTTGTTTGCTTTACTATGCAAAACCTTTTTAGTTTGATGTAGCCCCACTTGTTCACTTATGCTTCTGCTGTCTGTGCTTTTGGAATCAAATTTAAAAAACTATTGTCAAGACCAACGTAAAGGAGTTTTCTCCTAAGAGTTTTACAGTTTCAAGTCTTTCATTTAAGTCTTTAATCAATTTTGAGTAATTTTTTATGTATATTGTAAAGTAGGGTCTAATTTTATTCTTTTGTATGTGGATATCCAGTTTTTCCAATATTATTGATTGAAGATTATCCTTTCTCCATTGTGTATGCTTGGCACCTTTGTTAAAAATTAATTGACTATGTATGTCAAGAGGATTCTATTCCATTGCTCTATGTGTCTGTTTTTGTGCCAGAACCATAGTGTTTTGATTACTATAGCTATGTATCATATTTTGAAATCAGGACATGTAATGCCTCCTGCTCCATTCTTCTTGCTCAAGATTGCTTTAGCTATTTGGGATCTTTAGTGGTTCCAGGTGAATTTTAGGATTGTTTTTCTATTTATATGAAAAATGCCATTGTAATTTGACATGGATTTCATTGACTCTGTAGATTGCTTTGGTGGTAATAACTTTTAGGAATATTAATTCTTCTTAATTCATAAGCACAAAATAACTTTTCATTCATTTGTGCCTTCAATTTTTTTCAATAATGTTTCATATTTTTCAGTGTAAGATCTTTCACCTCCTAAGTTAGATTTATTCCTAAGTATTTTATGCTTTTTGATGTAATTGTAAACGTGACTGTTTTCTTAATTTTTTGGTGGGGGGAGTAGTTTGTTTTTAGTATGTATAAATACAACTATTTTTGCTGGTTGATTTGTTATCATGCAAGCTTACTGAATCCATGTGTTAGTTTTTACAGTTTTTTAAAAAATGGAATCTGGAGTTTTCTGTACATATGATAATGTCATTTGCTAACAAGGGCAATTTTATTTCTTCCTTTCTTATTTGGATGCCTTTTATTTCTTTTTTGCCCCATTACCCTAGTTAGGACTTCCAGTGCTATGTTGAATAGATGTGGTGAAAGTAGACACCCTTGTTTTGTTCTTGATCTTACATGAAAATCTTTCAGCTTGTCACCATTGAATATGGTAACTGCGTGGAGTGTCACATATGGCCTTTACTATGTTGAAGTTGAGGTAATTTACTTCTATACTTAATTTGTTGAGAGCTTTTATCGTGAAAGGATGTTGAATTTGTCAAATGTTTTTTCTGCATCTATTGAGATTATTATATTTATTTTTTCCTTCATTTTGTTAATACAATGTATCAAGATTAGTGATTTGCATATATTGAACCATTATTACATCCCAGAGAGAAATCCCACTTGATCATGGTGTAAGATCCTTTTAATATACCTTGAATTCAGTTACTAGTATTTTGTTGAGGATTTTTTGCATTTATGCTCATTAAGAATATCGGCCTATAATTTTCTTCTCTTATAGTATTCTTGTCTGGCTTTGGTATTACTGTAATGCTGGCCTAATGAAATAAAATTTGAAGTGTTCCCTCCTCTTCAGTTTTTTGGAGAAGTTTGGAAAGGATTGGTGTTAATTTTTCTTTAAATGTTTGGTAAAATTTACTAGCGAAGGCATCTAGTCCTGAATTTTTCTTTGTTGGGAGATTTTTCATTACTTATTCAATCTTTTTACTCATTATTAATCTCTTCAGACATCTATGCCTTCATGATTTAAACTTGGGTTGCATGTATGTAGGAAATTATACATTTCTTTTCAGGTTATTCAATTTGTTGACTTATAATTACTCATAAGTAGTCTCTTAGGATCCTTTGTATTTCTGTGGCATCAATTGTAATATCTCCTCTTTCATTCCTGATTTTGTTTATTTGAATGTTTTATATCTTTTTTTCTATTTAGCTAAGAGTTGATCAGTTTTGTTTACATTTTCAAAAAACCAGCTCTTCTTTTTACATATTTTTTTCTGTTGTTTTTCTAGTCTCTCTTTCATTTATTTCTTCTATGATTGTTATTTCCTTCCTTTTACTAATTTTGGGCTTAGTGTGTTCTATTTCTACTTTTTTGAAGTTAAATTTAGCTTGTGTATTTGACATCTTACTTTTTTATAATGTAGACATTCGTTATTATACACTTTCCTTTGAAAATGGCTTTTGTTAAAACAAATAGCCCTATTAAAATTTAGGCAAACTATATGAACAGATATTTCTTGAAAGAAGATATAGAAGTGGCAAACAAAGATATGAAAAAAATGTTCATCGTCACTAATTATCAGATAAATGCAAATCAAAACCATAATGAGATAATATCTTACACAAATCAGAATGGCTTTTGTTACAAAGTAAAAAAAATAACAGATGTTAATGAGGTTATGGAGTAAAGGAGACACTTACACGCTGTTAGTGGAAATGTAAATTAATCTGGCTATTGTGGAGAACAGTTTGAAGATTTCTCACAGAACTAAGAGTTGAACTACGATCTGATCCAGCAATCCCATTACGGGGTATAAATTCAAAGAAAAATAAATTGTTTTACCTAAAGGACACATGCACCTTTGTGTTTATTACAGCACTATTCACAATGGCTAAAACATGGAATCAACCCAGGTGCCTATCAATAGTGGACTGGATAGGCCGGGCGCAGTGGCTCAAGTCTGTAATCCCAGCACTTTGGGAGGCTGACGCGGGCGGATCACGAGGTCAGGAGATCGAGACCATCCTGGCTAACACGGTGAAACCCCGTCTCTACTAAAAATACAAAAAATTAGCCAGGCGCAGTGGCAGGCGCCTGTAGTCCCAGCTACTCAGGAGGCTGAGGCGGGAGAATGGCTGAACCTGGGAGGCGGAGCTTGCAGTGAGCAGAGATAGCGCCACTGCACTCACTCCAGCCTGGGCGACAGAGCGGGACTCCGTCTCAAAAAAATAAAAAATAAAAAATGGACTGGATAAAGAAAATGCTGTATATATACGCCAGGGAATACTATGCAGCCATAAAAAAGAACAAAACCTTGTCCTTTGCAGCAACATGGATGTAGCTGGAAGTCATTATTCTAAGTGAACTAACATAGAAACAGAAAACCAAATACCACATGCTCTCACTTATAGGTGGGAGCTAAACTTTGGGTACACATGGACATAATGATGTGAACAATAGAAGGGCCTGCTAGAGGTGGAGACAGGGAAGGGAGCAAAAGGTGAAAAACGACTTCTTGGGTACTATGCTTACTACCTGGGTGATGGATTCAATCATACTCTGAGCCTCAGCATCATGAATTATACCTTTGTAACAAATCTGCACGTGTACCCTGATTCTAAAATAAAAGTTGAAAAAAAACCTGCTTTTGCTGTATATCTCATATATTTTGTTTCCATTTTTATTTGTCTCAAGATATTTTCTTATTTTGCTTTTAATTTCTTATTTGAGTTATTTGTTGTTCAGCAGGGTGTTGTTTAATTTCCACATATTTGTAATTTTTCTGGCTTTGTCCTTGCTGTCATTTATTTCTAGTTTCATACCATTGTGCTCAGAAAAAATGCTTCATATGATTTCAATCTTCTTAAATTTGTTAAGACTTGTTTTCTGACCTAACATATGATCTATCCTGGAAAATGTTTCACGTATGCTTGAAAAGAATGTTTACTCTGCTGCTATTGAAAGAAATTTTCTGTATAGAGTTAAGTCCTCATTCCAAGTTATCGATAGGTTCTTGGAAACTGATTTTAAGTAAAACAGTGGATTGTATAATGAAATCAATTTTACCCTAAGCTAATTAATATTAAAAAAGTCAAGTTCCTATAGCATACTGCATGTAATTTTACTTAAAGTTGATGTGGAGTGAAGACTTATTTTATGTCTGTCAGGTGTATTTGTTCTAAGGTATATTACAAGTCCATTGTTTCTTTATTTTCTATCTGTATAATATTTCCATTATTTAAAGTGAGGCATTGAAGTCATCTACTATTACTCTATTGCTATCTATTTCTCCCTTCAGATCTGTTAATATTTGCTTTATATGTTTAGATTCTCCAAAGTTGGTTGCAGATAGATAGATAGATAGATAGATAGATAGATAGATAAATATAGATGATAGATAGACAGACAAATGTTTGTATAAACATTTGATGAATTGACCTCTTTACCAACATATAATAACATTCTTTTCTTTTGTCACAATTTTTAACAAACAGATTATTTTATCTAAGTATGGCTGCCCCTCTTCTATTTTGGTTTTCATTTGCATGGGACATCTTTTTTCATCTATTTACTTTTAGTTTATGCATGTCCTTAGTGAAGTAAGTCTTTTGTAGGCAGCATATAGTTGGGTCTTGTTTATTAATTTATTTATCCATTCTATACCTTTTGATTAAGTAGTTCAAACCATTAACATTTAAAGTAATTATCAATAGAGAAGAATTTACCATTGTCATTTTGTTAGCTGTTTTCCATTAGTCAAATAGTTCTTTTGCCTGCCTTTTCCTCTCACTGTCATCTTTGTGTTTTGTTCATTTACATATTGTTATACTTTGATTCTTTTCTCTTTTTCTTGTGTGTAACATCTATAGGTATTTTTGTGTGTGCAGTTACTTTGGGGATTATATAAAATGGCATATTTGTAACAGACTGTTTGAAGCTGACAACAACTTAAATTCAGTCACATGCAAAGACTACACTTTAACTTCTCTTCTTCTCACTGTTTATGTTATTATTGTTATAATTTACATCTACTTATATTGTGTGTCTTTTAACATATTTATAGTTATGCTTATTTGTAATACTTTTGTCTTTTAACTTTAATAATATAATTAAAAGTTATTTAACCACCACCATTATAGTAGAAAGTATTCCATGTTTGTTAATATATTCACTATTAATGAGTTTCATACTTCTTATGCTATTATAAGAAATAACAAAATTTACAGTAAAAATAAATAAAATAGAAAATAGAAAAGAAAACCATAGATGTGAACAAATAAAAATGTCTAAAAAAGAAAAACAATTTAAAAGTAAATGAAACTAAGAGTTTTTTTAAAGACAAAATTGACAAACTATTAGGTAGACTAACTAAGATAACAGAATAAAAGATAAAAGTCACATGATTATATCAATAAATGCAGAAAAATGTATTTTGTCATTTGACAAAATTTAATATCCTTTCATTATTAAAAAAACTTGTAATAATTAGGCATAGAAGGAAAAACCTTAAAGTAATGAAGGTCATATATGAAGAGTTCACAATTAATATAATGCTCAACAGTGAAAGACTAAAAGCCTTTGCTCCAAAATCAGCCACAAGGAGAGGATATTCACTCTTGCCATATCAATTCAACATAGTACTGGAAGTCTTTGCCAGGGCAATTAGACAAGAAAAAATTTAAGAGACATTCTAATTGAAAAGGAAGAAGTGAAATTGTCCATACTTGCAGATAATTTTATATGTATATATAGTATATATATATATATATGTGTGTATATATATAATATATATATACTATATATATATATATATTCCACAAAAAATGTCAGAGCTTATGAAGAATTCGATAAAGTTGCGGAATACAAAATCAACAAACAACTTTTTGTGTGTCTTTATACACTAACAATGAACTATCTGAAAAGGAAATTAAGAAAAAGTCCTATTACAATAGCTTCAAAAGAATTAAATGCCTAGGAATAAAGTTTTATGAACTAAAAGACTTAATATTGTAAAAATATTCATATTCACTAAAGCAATCTACAGATTTAATGCAATTGCTATCAGAATCCCAGTGACTGTTTTATAGACATTTAAAAAAGTTTTACAATTAATATGGCATCCTTAAAGAGCATAAATAGCCAATGAATCTTGAGAAATACCAAAGTAGAAGACAACACATGGCCTGATTTTAAAAAATAAACTACAAAGCAACAGTAACCAAAGCGTATGCTACTGGCATAAGCACAGACATATAAAACAAAGAATAAAATAGAGGCCCCAGATATAAATCCATGCATACAATCGACTGATCTTTGACAAGGCTGCCAAGAATATACAATGGAGAAAGGACAGTCTCTTCAACAAAAGACACTGGGAAAACTGGATTTCCACATGCAAAAGAATGGAATTGAATCTTATTTTACATCATACACACAAGAAAATCAATTCAAAATGGATTAAAAACTCAAACATAACACCTGAAACTATAATGATACTATAAGAAAGTATAGGGAAAAAACTTCATGTCATTGGTCTCAGCAATTATTTCACGAATAATACAATAAAAGACAAAGAACAAAACCAAAAATAAATAAGTGGGGCTATGTCAAACTAAAAAGCTTCCCTAGAGAAAATAAATCAATAAATGGAATGAAAAGAACACCCACAGAATGGGAAAAAATTGCAAATCATATTTCCGATAATGATTTATTATCCAAAATATATAAGAAACTCCTGGAACTCAATAGTAAAGTAACAGGTATAACCAGGTTAAACAATGGGCTATGAACTTACCCCAAGAAGATATACAACTGCCCAACAGATATATGAAGGATGCTCAACATCACTAATTATCAGGAAAATGCAAATCCAAGCTGCAATGAGGTATCACCTCATAACTGTCAGGATAGCTATTATCAAAGAATGGCTATTATTAAAAAGACAAAAAACAATAGATGCCGGTAAGGACACAGAGAATCGGAAACACTTGCACACAATTGGCGGGAATGTAAATTAGTACAGCTACTACATAAAACAGTATGGAGGTTTATGGAAAAACTAAAAAATAGAACTACTATATAATACAACAGTTTCATTTCTGGGTATCTGTCCAAATAATTGAAATTAGTGTCTTGAAGAGATATTAGCACTCATATTTATTGCATATTTATTTACAATGAAGTTGTGAAACTTTATTGTCTGTTGACAAATAAGTGAGTAAAGAAAATGTGTTATATACATAAAATACAGTACCATTCAGCCTTTAAAAAAGGAAATTCTGCAATATGCAACAACATGGATGAACTTTGAGAACATAATGATAAGTGAAATAAGTCAGCCACAGAAAGACATATATTGTGTGATTACCCTACTCTGAGGTATCTAAAATAGTCAAATTAATAGAATCAGGGAGTGGTGGTCATTGCCAGGAACTGGGGGAAGAGTTAATAGGGAGTTTCTAATCAATGGGTATAAAGTTTTAGTTAAGCAAGATAAATAAGCTCTGGAGAGCTGCTGCACAACATTGTCCCTATAGTAAAAAATAATTCATTAGACACTTAAAATATTGTTAACCAGATAGATCTCATGTTAACTGTCCTTACCAAAATATGCTTTTTTGAGTTTAATTTTATAATTGTGAATGAGCATTTTCTTGGCATGAAAAAAGTTAATTCATACTTTTCTTTAAAAGTATACATTCAATATAGTGTAATTTTTGAAATATTTAGAAACTTGTTATGGTGACACCCTAAATTATTAGGTATAATTGGACACTTACTTCTCCTCACATTCACTTAAAATACCTTTATTTCTGTTTTCCTTTTATTCCTAGTTTCTGAATGGGGACTCTGTCATGTGGCCCCATTTTTCTGTGTAACAAGGTAATCTAATCTTTTTTTTTTGGCAAGAAACTCTCTGGATAAGTTTCATTTCCTTATATTTCACATGTCCCAAATTTTCACTCTCATTTCTATAATTACTCCAATACAATCTTAGAGAATTCATCTTTTTAGTTCTACATGAATTCATAAACTTCTGAGTTCTTCTTTGTGAAACTCAGTTTGAGAAATACTAATTAACCTAAATAATGGCCATAAATTCCCACTTTGGCACACAGTGGCTGCCATGTGTGTCATATGCACACCTCATCTAAGAAAGGAGAAGGCACCTCCCAGGTAAATGAGAAAAACTCATTCATTGACAAGTATTTATGAATGCCTTTCATAAATGCCTTTATGATCCCTTCAACAGGCATCTTTGAAGTGTCAATTCTGTTCCAGATGCTTGAGATATATCAAATAAGAACAGCCAAAATATCCTGCCCTCCTGGAGGTTACATTCCAATGAGGGGAAGACAGAAAATAACCAAGTAAAACAATCAAGTAAATGCCTGTTGTATGTTAAAGTATGCATATTATAAGGAAAAATGAAGGAGGTTAGAAATTGCTGAGTAGTTGTAGATTTCCATGTAAATGTAGATTTCCATGTAAATGTAGTCATCATACTCTGGCAGATAGTCAGGGAAAGTATTACTCAGACAGTGACATTTGAGAACAAATGTAGGTAATATCAGGAGAGAAGGCTCAGACCCTCAGACGCACTCACACACAGACACTATAAGCAGGTAGAAGAGAAAGCAAAGGCCAGAAGCTGACTTATTACAACTTGGCATTGGGCAGTTGCAAAAGTTACCCAAAAGGCTACAATTAGGTGGCAAAAATAAATAACATTGTCAGAATCAGCCCAACTACAAAGTAAGAATAAATAACGGAGTGGAGAAAGGGGACTATGGTGAATAAGAAAGCTATCAGTGAGTATATATTAGATATTTATTATGCTCAGAACTGTGCTACATACTTCACAAAGATATCTCATTTCATGCACTAATAACTTTTGGAGATGAATAGGTTTAGCCCCCTTTGTCAGTTTAGAAAAATGAGACACAGAATGGTTAAGTGACTTGCCCATTTTCCCCATAATGTCCTTTGTATAGTTATTTTCTCAGTTTAGTAATCCAATATTAAAAGCATTGCATTTAATTGTCATGAATCTTCAGTCTCCTTTAATATGAATATTCTAACACTGCAGGCACAGTGTTAGAATGTCCATCAATTTGTGTTTGTCTGATGTCTTCTCATTTTATTTATTTATGCTTTTATTATTACTTGTCACTTGTGGAACAGGAGCAATATTGTATACTTCTCAATGCATTTATATCAAATATCATATGATTCTAGATTACCCAATATTAGTTATATTAACTTTAATCACTTGTTTAACATGGTAATTCACCAGGTTTCTCAATTGTGAAATTATTATTTTTTTCCCTTTTGTAAAAAAATAAATTGTGGGAAGAAACTTTGAGACTATGTAAGTATCCTTTTCCCCATGAAATATTCATTCACTAGTTGTAGTACAAGTGGGGATTTTCTAACTTTATTATTACTTCTGTATTTAGCATCATGCTAAGGGTTTTCCTTCTCCTGCATTAGACCAGATGAATCACTTTTCTTATGTGTGTGTATGTGTGCACACTCATGCACATATGTGCACGTGTATATGTATGGATGCATAATTGTTATCAAGTTGGTAGCCTGTATACTCCGGCAGATAGTGCTTTTGTCTGCGTCTTGAGTGGCTTTGAATGTCTGTTTAGATTTGAGGTTTTCCGGTTTAACGGATTTGGAAGTCTTGATTTCACAGTATTATGATGAGCTCATTCACTGGGATCTGATGTAGAAAATTTTTCTCCACTTGGACAAGGATGTGATCAATATCTGAAATCCCACAAGTCTATTACCTCTTGTTTGAGTCCTCCTTTCTTTGAATTCACACAGAATCTGCAGCACTGCATCTGTTGAATGAATAAGATCTGGGTTGCCATGCTCAGAATGGCAGCTTGGAGGATAATCCCTGGCCCCAGCAAGCCTCAGCTACCTGCAAGCCTGGTGTATGTTTTCCACCACCAAACTTAGCTGATCACCCAATGACAAAGACAAAGAATGACCAGACCAGTCAACAAGCAGCCTCGAAATGGAGTAGAGACTTACCTTTTTAAAATTTTGATCTGTAGCCCAGAGAGAATCTAAGATAAAATTTATTATAAATATAAATATATCACGGTGAACCTGGCAGCATAAAGATTGTGCATTGTGCAAAGATGCTCAACATGATGCCTTGTCTAGTGGCATCACCAAGCCTCTGATAGCTCACTGGGTTATAATCCATCATGGTGGTAAACAGCTCTATCCAGATTCTTTTGTGAAATCCTAGAACTAGCCAAAATTTTCTGCCTCATATTCTTGCAACTTTTTATTCTATAATAAAATGCACATCTTCTCTTAACTCCATATTGTTTTAGAGTTTCTGCTTCCAAAATCCACCTTCACACTGTTGCGCTTCCTCTAGCACTGGAGCCTTTAAGGTCTTGCTATATGTTAAACCAGCACATGCCCATCATCAAAGTCCTCACTGAGTCTTGCCTCTATGTGATAAAACTAACGTTCCACATACCCTGCTGATGATGATTTATGGCAGTCTTCATCAGCAGATGCTCATTCCGAGGTAGGAAGCCCTCACTGCCCATTCCAAATTATTTCTCTGAACCCAAATAAACCATACCCCTCATCTTAGGTAGTAATTAAGTGTGCAAAACCACCAGGGGTTGGATGGCCTGAATAAAATGCTGCTATACCACTTACTGAACAGTTATTTGACTCATTCTTATAGTGCTCACCAGTAAATTGAAGTAAATAATGGTAGATATGCATATACCCATATAGATATTTCAAAAATTAAATTAACATATATATCCATACCTGGCTCTTAGAAGACACTTAATAAATATTAGCAACTATAATGGTTATCAAAGCTGATGACATCCAACCATAAAACTTTCTAATTCTCCCTTTCTACTATTCGTTTGGTCACATATTACAATTCAAGCAATTTGGGCACCTAGTCTAGCCTTCTACCCTACCCTAAGACCTGATTTTACTTTAGGTCACATGCAGAAATATCCATCCAACTTCCTGACACCTAGGATCTTTCTACTTCTGGAACTTACTACGCTCTGAACATGAAGTTCTATGTCTTCTGCCATCTAGATGCCTCACCTCATCTTTCAGTTTAATAAGGCAGAAGACCCTCAATTTTCCATGCTGTTCTATCTATCGATGTCTTCTCAGGTTCACTTCTTTTTCTATATTCTCACCAATAGCCTCATCTCCTTCTCTCTCTTCCCCTCCCTAATACCATGAGCTTGGGTAAATACAAATATATGCCTTCCTTTTCTCTTGCATTGTGACTGCTTGGTATATCTAGAGAACATAAGACAAACCTAGAAATGGGTGCTACTTTAGATTCATGGTCTCCAACACCTGTTGGGGGATTAATACATCCTGGTAACCTTTCTATATCCTCCTGCCCTACCTGATTTTTATTTATCCTTCTACCCTCATTGAAGGACATAGAATCCATAGGAGAGATTTTTCCTAATCCCAAGCTAGTTAGATGTTTCTCCTTTGTACTTCTATAGCATAGTAGCTTATCATTCTCAAACCTCACATTAAACTGGGTGGTAGTTTATTCTTTAATTATCTCTATCTACCACTAGACTATGAATTTCTTAAGAAAAGTGTACCGGGTTGAATGGTGTGACACATGTCCACCCAGAACCTCTGAATGTGATCTTATTTTGAAAAGGATTTTTGCAGATATAATTAGCTAGCAACTCTCAGGAGCTACATGAGAGACATGAAAGAGGTGCTCTCTCAGGGCTTTCAGAAAGAACTAACCTGCTGACACCTTGATTTTGAATTTCTGGCCTCCAGAACTGTGAGTCACAAATTTCTGTTGCTTTAAGCCATCTGGTTTGTGGTACTTTTTTTTTTTTAATAGTAGCCTAGAAAACAAATACAAACAAGGTCAGAAACTTTTATATCTGCATTCAGCTTGTAACTCAGGGCAGGGCACAAGGTAAGTTCTCAGGAAATTATTGTGGAATGCATGGTCAAAGCAAGATGGAGATATTGCATGTAAGCTTGGTACTAGGACAATGGTTGATTATTGGAGGAAAGGGGAAATTTTTAGTCTAGTTTGCTGAGTGTAATGGAGATTGAGCCCAAAAGATTAGATTCGATGAAGTACATGGTAGCCCCATT
Organism: Homo sapiens; assembly: GCF_000001405.40. Classification (NCBI taxonomy): domain Eukaryota; kingdom Metazoa; phylum Chordata; class Mammalia; order Primates; family Hominidae; genus Homo; species Homo sapiens. The sequence continues at coordinate 85,477,751 of NC_000010.11, read as the reverse complement.
TATGGCCTAATGAGAGCCTTCTTCACAAGGAAGACTCTACAGGATAGGAGGATGTTTTCCCTACTTTGGTGTCATGGAGAGAGTTGGGTGGATGCACAAATGTGGAAAAAAAAGAGTTGTAGCATCATATCTGGAACTGAGAGGTAATATGACCAATGTCTGTGGTTGGGGGAAGATCACAGAGTCATAGTATCAAGCCAAGCAGTAGGAGAAGTAGGTGGTTCATTCCCAATACGGAGTGCGGATCTAGCATAAGGAGGAGAAGAGGAGAAGGATGCCAATTAGCTATCAGGTAAATATATTGAACACAGATAAAACAAGCATGGCAGAAACATGTGGGAAGAGAGGAGAAAGAATTTGTTATTGTATTTCTCATAATTCGTTTTTTGGAGGAAACAATCTCTGCTTCATTCAGACTTTATCTTCATGAAATTACGTGTCATTTATGATTCAATTACCTTTATCCAGAGGCCCCTAGGATTTGGAATGTGGATGAGATTTCACTTTTTGGCACCCAGGAAAACTTAAGCTCTTTAAGTTACATGGAAATTTGGCTAAAAACACTAAGCCAAAATTTTGCCTACAAGCCAAGCACTGTCATCCTATTCTGTGTTTGTTTCACCAGTAAATGTTATTAGAGGGAAGCATTTGTTTGAAATTTCTGGCGAGTCATTTTTCTGCTCCTTTTGGTTGCTTTGTATTTTTGCAAATCATCTCTGGGCTAGAAGCCATTCTTGCTTCCTTTTTGCTAGAACTCTAAATCCAAACAAAGATGCTGTTTGGCATGATCACACATAAAGCCATCTCAGTAATTAGTACAGCCAATGGATTCAAGCCAAACAAGAGAACTACTGGACTGTAATCTGGTGGACATGTTGAAGATGACACCATCCATAAATCTATTGTGTTCTACCTTAGGGACCAGTGGCAAGAGAAACCCGTCCGAGTTTCCCTTTGAGGCTCTGGAAATCTAATCTGGAAATTTTGATTTATCGCAACACCACCTAATCTGTTGATGAATTGCATTCAGAAATGTCCTTACTGCTGATGTGCTATGTTTGGCAAATTGAGCAAAGAGAAAGTCAGGACTTAAGATTGGTTTGCCACAAGACAGGCTGAAATATGAAAGGAATTAGATACAGTATGAATGGAAATAAGGATAGGGATACAGAGAAGGGAAGGTAGGTAGTGGAATTCAAGTTGCTCAGAACAAGGGACTTGGGGACATCAATGAAAATGGAAGGAAAATTGTGGATAACAGAATTCTAGTGAAGTTGTAATAATTCACTACTACTTAGATTGCAAAAATAAGATTAAAAAAGATATAATTATGTTCTTATTAGGTCTACACTGCTGTAAGTACATATATTGACTCATTTGATTGCCATGACAAGGCTATGACTATCATTTTCATTTACAGATGAAGAAATTAAAGCAAGGTCAGGCAGCTACAGAATAGCAATTCTGGAACCACAGACCTCATATGGCTCCAGAATCCATTCTCTTAACCTCCAAGTTATATTATTCCTCATAATGTGTATTTATTTATATTTGTTTAGTGGGCATTAGAGATAACATGGTGATCCATTTTTGGCACCCTGTGATTGCTAGCTCTAGGTCAGGAATTAGGCATAAATGGGTCAGGGTTAAGGAAGGTGATAGGCTGACCATATAATTTATGGAATTAAAATTATATCATTTTGAAATATTTATCGATTGATTAATAAATTGAATTTATTGTATTGGTAGATGTGTAAAATGAGTCTTTATAATGATTTTCTGTAACTTTTTCTAAAACTTAATAATGTGTTTTTGTATACATTAAAGCAACATAAAATAAACTTTTTATTGATTATCTAAAATTACAAGAAACAAAAAAATTTTATTCTTGACAAATACTCTTGTATCCTCATGAATTTTGTAGCTTACCTGTGTCATAGGTATTTTTCAGAAGATTTTATTTTTAATATGTACTTATTAAATATTTTAATAATAAAATGTCTAGAAAGTTTTCAAAGTTGCCTTTTATAAGTAAAACATTTCAAACTGTTGACATTTTCAATTAATCTTTCTTTATAGACCATAATTTTTTTAAATGAAAAAGTACTCTCTCTTTACAAGTGGTGAGAAACTTTATAATTTCAGAGAAAATACTGCTAAATGGAGGTTAGTCATAATTCTATTTTTGTATCAAATTTGGTATCTATTTTAGATAATATATTTTCAAAGGACTGTTATTTGGCCTCTGTCAAGTGTACTTTTCTTTGAAAAATAGTTTTGTAACCAAAATCTCATCAAATAGGTTATTTGCAATTATAATTCTTTTGACTGTTTTATCAAATTCAGATGCTGTAAAGCCAGAGGTCATCTCGATTTCATTCTGCTCTGTTGCTGAATATCAACCTATTGAAATAAAAATAGAATCTTTACTAAAAAAATTATCCCCACAACTGAGATATTTGAAAGCATAATTATAGAATTTTTAAAAATCTTGAACACTATTTGAATTCTTCTTGCTTAATTTTTTGTTTCATTTTTTCTTTTGAAGAATTAAATTTAAATGTCTTTCTGTTTGTAAGCTTTGCTTTCAAAAGTTTCAAATTTTTGAAAGTGCAAAAGTTGATTCTTTTGCCCTCTATTTATTGAATATGCTGCCTAATGATTTACAGCTGATTTTTAATAAAACGCATGAAAGATTTAGAAAACTTATCTGAACAATGTCCAATACCTTTGTAGGACATTTAAGTTGTTTTACAAAGTACTTCTTCAAAGGCTTATACATTTCTAAAATTTGACTGATATCAAGCAACACAGAGTGAAAGAATGTGCTGCCATAGCTGAATTTTTGTAGTCAGTATTTTTGTCAGGCTAATTGTCATTCAGTTTCTCTGTATATATGCACATATCGATATATTTTGGCTATGCTTTGTATTTGCATCTTTAGAATACTGATGCTTGTTTGAGAGCAATTAGAAATTATGTGTGTACTATAAACAATTCCAAGTACATTTTTATTACATAGGTCCATTAATTTAGTAAAATTGTTCTTTTTGCAAAAGAATATAAGGCTGTGCTTCACTAAAATTTTCATTTGTATTTTTACTGCCCAACAAATTAATTCTCAAAATTGAATTTTTTAGCTGAACTTAAAATTGTATTTACAATAACATCATATGTTTCTCCTTCAATAAAAGGAACTTATAACCACTTTATTTAGATTCTCTAAGTGGACTAAAATCTGACCTGTTATTGGAGTTACCTCAATTTTTTGTTTGAAGCATCTGATAGAACTTATAAAAGTCTCACTTCATTTAACTATTTGTAAAATCTTCCTTCTGATATTTAAATCAACTTGTTAACAACTTTTCCTCACTCTTCATATATTCAGAAGAAATGTTGAAATCAAATATAAGTGAAATTAGAAAAGCAGTCATTTGGACGGGCGTGGTGGCTCACGCCTATAATCCGAGCACTTTGGGAGGCCGAGGTGGGTGGATCACGAGGTCAGGAGAACGAGACCATCCTCATCCTGGCTAACACAGTGAAACCCCATCTCTACTAAAAATACAAAAAAAATTAGCTGGGTGTGGTAGCGGGTGCCGGCAGTCCCAGCTACTCGGGAGGCTGAGGCTGGAGAATGGTGTGAACCCGGGAGGCGGAGCTTGCTGTGAGCCGAGATTGCGCCACTGCACTCCAGCCTGGGCGACAAAGCAAGACTCTGTCTCAAAAAAAAAAAAAAAAGAAGAAAAGCAGTCATTTGATCTAAGTGAAAAGTCATATTTTATTATATAAATTATATAAATGTAACTTTTGCAGTAAATGCATTAAATCAATCTATAGGCATCATTTGTAGAGATTGGTAACTTTTGAAGTTGCTGCTAAAGCTTATTCAAATTTGTCTTCTTTTATCTGATCAAGGGTGTCATTATAGTACCCACTGTAGAATTTAAACAAAGGCCAGGGAATGGGGAGCAAACCCAGTGAAAATGGAGACCTGACACATGGTTGAAGTTTTCAGAGATCCAGTGGTCTGTGACATTTGTGTTATTTTCTCCAAAATGAAGGATATGTTGCTCATGTCCATGGAAAGAGACTCCAAGCCATTTTGTGTGGGCTGTTTTGGATTATGGAGGCCATGTATATTACATTTGAGTGTCTGTTTTAAACCATTTAATAAGTAACCCATAAATCCACTGGTGTTCAGAGGAACATAGAGCAAAACAAGTCCTGCAGCAGGGCTGGGCTCCTGTCTTGCCACTGGTATCTTACAAAGTAGCAAATCCAATGGAACTTGAAGTGTCTTTGATCCTTGAGGATGCTATATGGACCTCTTGGCAGACCATAGTAGAATTACAGCACAAAGTCATTAGGATTTTGGAGCAAAGGTGTGTCTTCTATAGACAACTATCCTCCCTTTCCTTTACACATTAATGAAGTAAAATTCACATAACAAAATCCATCATTTTAAAATGAACAATTCAGTGACATTTAGTATGTTAACAATATTGTAATACCAACAGTTCTCTTTAGTTCTAAAACATTTATGTAATTCTAAAACAAAACCCCTTACCCATTAAGCAGTTTCTCTTCATCCTATTTCCCACACCCACTAGCAACCATCTACTTGCATTCTGTCTCTATGGATTATCAATTATGTAAATTTCATATAAATGGAATCATACAATATTTCAGAACTTTTGTGTCTGACTTCCTTATTTAGCATTATAATTTCAAGGTCCATCTATGTTGTAGCATGTATGATTAATTAATTCCCTTTTGATGGCAGAACAATATTTCATTGAATGAATAAATCAAAATTTGTTTAACCATTCATCCATTGAGGGACATATGAGCTATTTCCACCTGAGTGATGCTATAAACATGCATGTACATAAGCTTGTTTGAGTCCCTCTTTAGTTGTTTTGGGTATGCACCCAGGAGTAGACTTGCAGGATTGTATAGTTATCTTACGTTTACCTTTTTGGAAAACTGCCAAAATATTGACAACAATAACTGAATCATCTTACATTTGCAGAAGCAATGTATGATTCCAGTATTTCCAACATCCATGCTATTTTCTTTTCTTTATATATATATATATTTTTTTTTTTTTATTATACTTTAAGTTCTAGGGTACATGTGCACAACGTGCAGGTTTATTACATATGTATACATGTGCCATGTTGGTGTGCTGCACCCATTAACTCATCATTTACATTAGGTATATCTCCTAATGCTATCCCTCCACCCTCCCCCCACCCCACAACAAGCCCCAGTGTGTGATGTTCTGCTTCCTGTATCCAAGTGTTCTCATTGTTCAATTCCCACCTATGAGTGAGAACATGTGGTGTTTGGCTTTTTGTCCTTGAGATAGTTTGCTGAGAATGATGGTTTCCAGCTTCATTCATGTCCCTAGAAAGGACATGAACTCGTCATTTTTTATGGCTGCATAGTATTCCATGGTGTATGTGTGCCACATTTTCTTTATGCTATTTTCTTTGTTTTAAATTATAGCTAATGACTATGAAGTAGTACTTCTTTATAGTTTTAGCTTGCAGTTCCCTAATGGATAATAATGTGGAGCATTTTTCAAGACTGTTTTGGCTACTTGTGGCCCTTTGAAATTTCGTATAAATTTGAGGGTTAGATTTTTCATTTCTGTACAAATGGCTGTTGAAATTTTGATAGGGATCATATTGAATCTGTAGATCACTTTGAATAATAGTAAGATTTTAAAAAATTCATTCTACCAAGCTTTACAATTTGATTGCAGAATTTAATCCATTTGTACACAAAATAATTAAGAAAAGACTTCTGCTATTTTTCTATTTCCTTTCTGTATATCTTATAGCTCTATTTTTCCTCATTTGCTCAATTTTCAACTTCTTTTGTGTTTGTTCCATTTTTGGCAATGTACCATTTAGATACTCTTCTCACTTCTGTTGTATATATATTTTAAATATTTTTTAGTGGTTACCGTGGCTTACAATTTTGATTAACAGTAGCAGATTACATCAAACATCTCAAATTTATAACAATCTGGTTTATACCAAGAGAGCTTGAATAACATGCAAAATATCTGCTTCCATCTAGCACTGTCCCCTTCTGTGTTGTTGTAACATATTATGTCTTTATACATTATGTGTTTAATATATCAATTTCTAATTATTTTATACATCTACTTTTACATCATGTAGAATATAAAATGTGGAGTTGCAAACCAAAAATGTAAAATTATTGACTTTAACGTTAGCTTTGTAGTTACCTTTACCAAAGATATTTATATCTTCATATATCTTTGAGTTACTGTATATTGTTCATTTATTTTTATCTTAAAGGTTTCTTTTAGCATACCTAAAAGGTCTTGCAGATTGGCTGGTAACAACCTCCCTCAATTTCAGTTTATATGGGAATGTCTTAATTTCTCCTTCATTTTTTGAGGAATAATTTTGTTGACAATCACATTCTTTTTTGACAGCTTCGTTTTTTTTCTTTTAGCATTTTAAATATATTTTCTCACTAACTTCTTATCTCCTTAGGTTTTTTTTTTTTGTAAAATTGACTGTTAATTTTATTAACAATTCCTTGTGTGTGATGAGTTGCTTTTCTCTTGCAACTTTCAGTACAGTGGTATGATCATAGATTACTGCAACCTCAAATTCTTGGGCTCAAAAGATCCTCTGCCTCAGCCTCCTGAGTAGCTAGGGCTACAGGCACATGCCACCATGCCCAGTTCAGATACTACATCTTTTTTAAAAATAAATTTACATCCTAGGGATAAATTCCACTTGATCACGATGCATGTTCTTTTTAATATATTATTGAATTTCGTTTGCTAGTAGTTTTTGTTGAAGATTTTTACATCAATATTTATAAGAGATATTGGGCTGTAGTTTTGTTTGTTTTTTATGTGTCTTTGTCTGGTTTTAGTATCAGGGGAATAATGGGTTCATAGGATGAATGAATTTGGAAATATTTCTGCCTCCCTTATTTTTTGAAATGGTTTGAGTAGGATTGGTATAAATTCTTTAGATGTTTGGTAGAATTCAGCAGTGAAGTCGTTGGAACCCAGGCTTTTCTTTACTGGGAGATTTTTTATTATGGCTCTATCTCCTTACTTGTTATTAGTGTGTTCAGGTTTTGGATTTCTTGCTGGTTCAATCTTGGTAGGTTGTATGTATCAAGGAATGTGTCTATTTCTTCTAGATTTTCCAATTTTGGGGCATATAGTTGCTCAAAGTTGGTGATTTTTTTCAATTTGTGCAATATCAGTTGTAAGGTCTGCTTTTTCATCTCTGCTTTTTTCTTTGGATCTTCTTTTTTTTTTTCTCAGTATGGCTAAAGGTTTGTTAGTTTTGTTTAATGTTACAAAAATCAAACTTTTTGTTTCATTGATCTTTTACATTGTTCTCTTCATTTCAAATTCATTTATTTCTGCTCTGATCCTTATTATTTTTAACTTAACCAATCCTTATTTTTATTTATTTTTTTCTCCTTTTCAGCACTTATTTTCAAATATTTATTTTATAACTTTTAGGTTCACGGGTACATTGCAGGTTTGTTATATAGATAAACTTGTGTGATAGGGGCTTATTGTACAGATTATTTTGTCACCCAGGTAATAAGCCTAATACCCAATGTTTTTTTTTTTAAATAATCCTCTTCCCTCCTCCCACCCTCTACCCTGAAGTGCACCCTAGTGACTATTGTTCCCCTCTTTGTGCCCATGAATTCTCATCATTTATCTCCCAAGTATAAGTGAGAACATCTGGTATTTGGTTTTCTGTTCCTGCATTAGTTTGCTAAGGATAATGGCCTCCAGCTTCATCCATGATCTTGCAATAGACTTAATCTTGTTCTTTTTTATGGCTGAATAGTATTCCTTGGTGTTTAGGTATCACATTGTCTTTATCCAATCTGTCATTGATAGACATTTGGGTTGGTTTTATGTCTCTGCTACTGTGAATAGTGCCGCAATGAACATTTTTGTGCATGTGTGTTTATGTTAGAATGATTTATATTCCTTTGGGTATATTTCCAGTAATGGGATTGCTGGGTTGAATGGTAGTTCTGCTTTTAGCTCTTTGAAGAATCATTACACTGCTTTCCACAACTGTTAGACTAATTTACACTGCCACCAACTGTGTAAATGTTCCACTTGCTTTGTAACCTCCCCAGCATCTGTTATATTATGACTTTTTAATAATATTCATTAGGACTGGTGTGAGATGGTATCTTGTGGTTTTCAATTGCTTTTCTCTAATGGTCAGTGATATTAAATTCTTCCTCATATGCTTGTTGGCCACATGCATGTCTTCTTTTGAAAGTGTCTCTTCATGTCCTTTGCCCACTTTTTAATAATATTGTTTGTTGTCTTCATGTAAATTTGTTTAAGTTCTTTATAGATGCTGGATAGTAGACATTTGTCAGATGCATAGTTTACAAAAATTTTCTCCCATTCTGTAGGTTGTTTGATAGTTTCTTTTTCTGTGCAAAAGTTCTTAAGTTTAGACACCAATTGTGAACTTTGTTCTTTGGTTGTGATTGCTTTTGGTGTCTTCATCACGAATTTTTTGCCCATTCCTATGTCCAGAATGTTATTGTCTAGGTTGTCTTCCAGGGTTTTTATGGTTTTGGGTTTTACATTTAAGTCTTTTAATCCATCTTGGGTTGATTTTTGTACATGGTGTAACAAAGGGGTTTAATTTCAACCTTCTGTATATGGCTAGCCAGTTATCCCAGCACCATTTATTGAATAAGGAGTCCTTTCCCCATTGCTTGTTTTTGTCATCTTTGTCAAAGATCAGATGGTTGTAGGTATGCAGCCTTGTTTCTGGGCTCTCTATTCTTTATCATTGAACTATGTGTCTGTTTTTCTACCAGTACCATGCTGTTTTGTTTACTGTAGCCCTGTAGTATAGTGTGAAGTCAGGTAATGTGATGCCTCCAGCTTTGTTCTTTTTGCTTAGGATTGCCTTGGCTATTCAGGATCCTTTCAATATTTGCCTGAATGTTTGTTTATGTTTAAATGATTTATATTCCTTTGGGTATATTTCCAGTAATTGGATGGCTGGGTCGAATTGTAGTTCTGTTTTTAGCTCTTTGAAGAATTGCCACACTGCTTTCCATAATGACTGAACTAATTTATGCTGCCACCAACAGTGTATAAGTGTTCCATTGTCTTTGCAACCCCTCCAGCATCTGTTATATTTTGACTTTTTAATAATATTCATTCTGACTGATTCCATATGAATTTTAAAATAATTTTTTATAGCTCTGCGAAGAATATTATTGGTAGTTTGATAGAAATAACATTGAATCAGTAAAATGCTTTGGGCAGTATAGCCATTTTAATGATATTGATTCTTCCTATCCATGAGCATGGAATGTTTTTCCATTTGTTTGTGTCTTCTCTGATTTCTTTGATCAGTGTTTTGTAATTCTCATTGTAGAGATCTTTCACCTCCTTGGTTAGCTGTATTCCCAGGTATTTTATTGTTTTGTGGCAATTGTGAATGGGATTGCATTCTTGATTTGGCTTTTGGCTTGGCTGTTGTCGATGTATAAAAATGCTAGTAATTTTTGTGCATTGAATTTGTATCCTGCAACTTTGCTGAAATTGTTTATCAGCTGAAGGAGCTTTGACATAAAATTATGTCATCTGCAAATGGGGATAGTTTGACTTCCTCTCTTCCTATTTAGATGGTCTTTATTTCTTTTTCTTGCCTGATTTATTTTGCCGGGACTTCTAATACTATGCTGAATAAGAGTGGTGAGAGAGGGCATCATTATCTTGGGCCAGTTTTCAAGGGGAATAAGTCCAGCTTTTCCGCATTCAGTATGATATTGGCTGTGAGTTTGTTGTAGGAGGCTCTTACTAATTTAAGATATGTTCCTTCAATATCTAGCTTCTTGATAGTTTTTAACCTGAGGAGATATTGAACTTTATCAAAAGCCTTTTCTGTTTCTATTGAGATAATCATGTGGTTTTTGTCTCTAGTTCTGTTTATGTGACGAATCACATTTACTGATTTGTGTATGTTGAGGCAAACTTGCATCCTGGGGATGATGCCTACTTGATCATGGTGAATTAACTTTTTGATGTCTTGCTGGATTTGATGTGCAAGTATTTTGTTGAAGATTTTTGCATCGATGTTCATTAAAGATATTGGCCTAAAATTTTATTTTGTCGTGTCTCTGCCCAGTTTGTGTCAGGATGACATTGGCTTCATAGAATAAGTTAGGGAGGACTCCCTCCTCACTTTCTGGAATAGTTTCAGTAAGAATGGTACCAGCTCTTTGTACATCTGGTAGATATTACTTCTTTTCTTTTACTAATTTTGGGTTTGGTTTGCTATTACTTTTTTTAGTTCTTTGTGATGCATCATTAGATTATTTACTCTTTTTTGACGTAGGTACTTATAGCTATAAATATCCCTCTTAGTACTGATTTGGATGTACCACACAGGATTTGGTATGTTGTGTTTCCACTGTAATTTGTTTCAGGAAACTTTTCTTTTTAATTTCTTCATTCCCACTGGTAATTCGGAGACATATTGTTTAATTTCCATGTATGTATAGTTTCCAAAATTCCCTTTGTTACTGATTTCTAGTTTTATTCCACTGTGATCAAAGAAGATGCTTGATATTATTTCAATTTTTTGAATATTTAAAGACTTATTTTGTGATGTAACATATGGTCTATCCTTAAGAATGATCCATATACTGAGGAAAAAACTGTGTATTCTGTAGTTGTTCGATGAAATGTTCTGTAAATATCTATTAGATCCATTTGGTCTGTAGTCAAATGAAGTTTGATGTTTCTGTGTTGATTTTATCTCTAGAAGATTCTGTACAATGCTGAAAGTGGGGTGTCAAAGTATCCAGCTTTTATTTTATTGAGGTCTATGTATCTCTTTTGCTGTAGTAATATTTGCTTTATGTATCTGGGTACTCCAGTGTTGGATGCATATACATTTAAAATTGTTGTATCCCGTTGCTGAATTTACCCTTTTACTGTTATAAAGTGACAGTCTCTTCTTATAGGTTTTGCCTTGAAATTAATTTTGTCTGATTTAAGTGTAGCTATTCCTGCTCTTTCTTGGTTTCCATTGGTATGGAACATCTTTTTTTCATCTTTTTATTTACAGTCTATGTGTGTCTTTATAGGTGAAGTGTGTTTCTTGTAGATAACAAATCAATGGGTCCTGTTTTTTCATCCATTCACCCAATCTATGTCTTTTTATCAGGGATTTTAGTCCATTTACATTCAATGTTATTATTGGTAAGTAAGGACTTGCTTCTGACATTTTGATATTTGTATTATGGGTATTTTGTGGTATGCTCTTTCTTCTTTCATTCCTTCCTGTCTTCCGTTAGTGAATGCAATTTTCTCTGGTGATATGATTTAGTTTCTTGCCTATTATTTTTTGTAGATTTGTTGTATGCTTTTTGGTTTCAGGTGACCATGAGTCTTGCAAGTACTATCTTATAACCAATTATTTTAAACTGAAAACTATTTAACATTGTTTACATAAACAAAGAAGCAAAAAGAAAACTAATAAAGCCTCTAAGCTTTAAAGCATTTTACTCCCACTTTTATTTATTTATTTTTTGCTTCTGTTTAGATCTTATTATACTGTCTATGTCTTGAAAAGTTGTGGTATTTTTAATTGGTTCATCATTTGGACATTCTACTTAGGATAATAGAAGTTTACACACCACAATTACAGTGTTATAATATAATACTCACTGGTATTTACTATTACTGTTGAGTTTTGTACCTTCAAATGATTACTTTTTGCTTCATTAATGTCCTTTTTTTCCTACTTGAAGTACTCCTTTTAGCATTTCTTGTAGGACAGGTCTGGGAATAAAGTTCCTCAACTTTTGTTTGTCTGGTAAAGTCTTTATTTCCCCTTCATGTTTAAAAGATATTTTTGCCAGATATGCTACTCTAGGATACAAGTTTTTTTCTTTAGCACTTAAATATGTCATGCCACTGTCTCCTGGCCTGTAAGATTTTCACTGAAGAGTCTTCTGCCAGATGTATTGAATATCCATTGTATGTTATTTGTTTCTTTTCTCTTGCTGCTTTTAAGATTTTTTCTTTATCCTTGACCTTTAATTATTAAATGACTTGAGCTAGTCTTCTTTGGGTTAAATCAGCTTGATGTTCTATAACCTTCTTGTTCTTCAATATTGGTATTTTTCTCTAGGTTTGGAATGTTTTCTGTTATTATCTCCCTGAATAAGCTTTCTACCCCTATTTTCTTCTCTACTTCTTCTTTAAGGCCAATCACTCTTAGATTTGCCATTTTTAGGCCATTTTCTCGATCCTGTAGGCATACTTCATTGTTTTTTATTCTTTTGTCTTTTGTCTCCTGTGACTGTGTATTTTTAAACAGCCAGTCTTCAAGGTCACTAATTCTTTCTTCTGCTTGATGAGTTCTGGTATTAAAGGAAGGACTCCGATGTGTTCTTCAGTATGTCAACTGCATTTTTCAGCTCCAGAATTTCTGCTCGATTCTTTTAAATTATGTCATTCTCTTTGTTAAAATTTTCTGATAGAATTCTGAAATTCTTCTCTGTATTATCTTGAATTTCTTTGAGTTGCCTCAACACAACTATTTTAAATTCTGTCTGAAAGGTCACATATCTCTGTTTCTCCAAGATTGGTCCCTGGTGACTTATTTAGTTTATTTCCTGGAATGTCTTGATACTTGTAGTTGTTCATCTGTGTCTGGGCATTCAAGAGTTAGGTATTTATTTTAGTCTTCACTGTTGGAGATTGTACCTGTCCTTCTTGGGAAGGCTTCCCAGACATTCAAAACAACTTGGGTGTTGTGATCTAAGCTGTATCTACTTTAGGGGGTACCCCAAGCCCAGTAAACTATAGTTTTTACAGACTATTTGAGGTGTCACCTTGATGGTATTGGACAAGATCTGGGAGAATTCTCTGGATTACCAGGCAGTAACTCTTGTCCTCAACCCTTATTTTCTCCCAAACAAAGATCTCTCTCTCTCTCTCTCCCTCTCCTCAGCCAACTAAAGCTGAGTATGGAGTGACACAAGCGCCCCTGTGGTCACTGCCACTGTGACTGTGCTGGGTCAGACCCAAAGCCGGCACAGCACTGGGTCTTGTCCAATGCCTGCTATAACCACTCTCTGGCTACTGCCAATTTTCTCTCAAGGCCCTGGGGCTCTATAATCAGCAGGTTGCAAAGCCAGCCAGGCCAGTGTATTTCCCTTGAGGGTGATGGGTTCCCCCAGGTCATGGGTGTGTCCAGAGGTGCAATTCAGGAGTCAGCAACTAGAGTCAAAAACATTACAAGTCTACCTGGTGTTCTATGGTACTGCAGCTGAGCTGGTTCACAGACCACAAGATGCAGTCCTTCCCACTCTTCCTTCTCCTTTCCAAATGCAGAGGAGGCTCACCCCATGGCCACCACCACCACAGGCCCACAAGGAGAACTTCCAGACAGACTACCACTGATGTCCCCTTAAGGCCCAAGGTCTCTTAAGCCAGTTTGTAGGCCTGGTCTGGGATTCATCCTTTATGGCAGTGGGCCCCCCTCTAGCCCAGGGCAGGTCCAGAAATGCTGTCCTAATCCCCCCCATCTCCCAAAAAACTTCCTCCCCAGATCTTCCTACAGACTTTAGGTGATCTACTATGTGTCTCAATTTTGTGTCTTAATCTTTATCTCAGGTGACTGCAAGTCTTTCCTTCATTTTACATTTTCTAGCACTGCCTGTGACTTTTCTATCTTGTGTAAGTTCTGAATTAGGCCAAACAGAAATGAGTGCCTTGTATAAGTTCTTCAGGTAACTCCCAGGAATTTTAGAATACAAATACAATAACTCGTAAAAAGGTCTTCTTTGCTCCTTCTGGAAGCATAAACCAGGGTCCCCTCCTGGAAATGCAGGTTGTTGTCTTCAAGACCACCTCTAAACTGGGAGGGTTTACAAGGTCAAGTAAAAATACTATGATGTTTTTCTACTATTTTGAAGTTATCTCTTTGTTTATTCAGCATTTGCTTAGTTTCTGTAAACTTTTAACTATTTTTTAAGAGCTCCAACAAATGTGGATCTTACAGTTTCTGCTTAGTTTTCAATGTTTCTGTGGAGGCAAAAAAGCGTGTAGCTACCAACTTTACCATTTTGCTCATGTCACTCATCAAGTATTTTTCTTTGGAAAAAATGTTTCTTTTTTTTGTTTTGTTTTGTTTTTTCTGGAACCTAGTAGTAATTGTATATATGATAATGAGACTCTTGCTATATAATCCATCACAGTGTAATGCTTGCAATTTTTTTTTTTTTGAGACGGAATCTTGCTTTGTTGCTCAGGCTGGAGTGCAGTGGCAGGATCATGTGTCACTGCAGCATTGATCTCCTGGGCTCAAGTGATTCAAATGATTCTCCTGCCTCAGTTTCCTAAGTAGTTGGGACCACTGGTACATGCCACCATGCCCAATTCTTTTCTTTACTTTCTCTTTTTTTTTTTTTTTTTTTTTGAGGCAAGATCTTACTATGCCCAGGCTGGACTCAAACTGCTGTGCTTAGGTAATCCTCCCACTTCAGCCTCCCAAAGGGCTGGAATTACAGGTGTCAGCCATTGCACTTGGGCTAAAACCTTTTTTTAGTTTTTAGTTTTAGATTTTTTGTAGCAATAGGGTTGTACTATGTTGCCCATGCTGGTCTCAAACTCCTGGGCTCAAGTGATTCTCCCACCTCAGTCTCCCAAGTAGTTGGGACCACAGGTGCACTATGTTGCCCAGGCTGGTCTTGAACTCCTAGGCTTAAGTGATCCTTCTACTTTGGCCTTCCCAAGTGCTTGTATTATAGGCATGAGCCATCACACCTGGTCAAAAACCTTAATCAGATTATGCTTTTCTTTTTTTATTTCATTTTTCATTTTTTATAGAGACAGGGTCTTACTGTGTTGCCCAGGCTGGCCTCAAACTCATGGGCTCAAGTGATTCTTCTGCTTCAGCCTCCCAAAGTGTTGGGATTACAGGCGTGAGCCACTGCACTTGGCCGCTATGATGTTCTGAAGTACTTGATTAGCACCTGGAAATAGTTTATGTGAAATCAGGCTGAAGCAGATCCTGAATGAAACAAGATTTTCATGGCATTCACTTATGTTGCATCGACACTACTCTTTCAACTCACATTTTCCACTTAACGGGGAGAGTTCCCTGTGACCAAATATTTTAGTCTTGATTTATAGATGGGTATGATAATATGCTTACATGAGCCAATTTTATAGCCCCAATCCGGGGTAGCCATCAATTGCAGTGGGGAAAGTATATTTTATCACTGGGCAAGACTATGGTCAGTAAATTTGTTTGCTCACTTTGATTAAGAGAAGAAATAGAGGTATCCATGTGTGCTGATTCATGGGCAATGGCTAACGGTTACGTCTAATGACCAGTGACTTGGAATGACAAGATTTGAGAATTAGTGACAAGGAGTTCTGGAAAAAGAGATGTATGTGTGAATCTCACAAAATTGGCCCTAATTGGAAGATAGTTGTTTGTGTGAATTCACACCAAAGAGAATCCACACTAGGGAAATCCTCAGTAATCAGGTTGTCAAAATGACAAAATTGTGGATGTAGTCAACATCTTTCCTTAGCCGCTAAAATAGTTGTTTACGGAACTCAAGAGTTGAAGTGGCAGCCAGAGCAGCAGGAATGAACAATATTTATGGGCTAAACCTCATAGGTTCTCCCTGGCCAATACCAACCCAGACAACTTTGTGTGTGTGTGTCTACCAGCCAATGATAGAGAACAACATTGTACCCCCAATACAGTCACACTCTACAGGGGAATCAACCAGCTACTTAGTGGCAGGTTGATTGCAATGACCTCTTCCATCATGAAAGGACTTCCATTGGGGATGTGTTTGTGCTCACTGGAGGGCCTTCTGCCTTGGATATGAAATTGCCTTAATATCTTAACGTTTCTGCCAGCATCACCAATGAAAAACTTACAGAATATTATCCTTTTGTCCCAAACAACATTGTTTCTGAACATGGGACTCATTTACTCACTGTTTTCCAAAGTGATTTTACCAACATTTGCTCCCACTGAACTTAGGAAGATGAGAGTCTCTGTTGCTGTACATCCTCATCAACACTGCTTATTGTCCAATTCTGTTTATGGATAAACAGTCTGTCATTTTGTAGTGAAACTTAAAATGAGAATATCTTATAACTTAGCAATTTATTCCATCAGTATATGCCCTAAAATGCTCTTGAGAAAGTTCGTGAGAAGATACTTACACAAATATTCAGAGCAACATTATTCATATTAGCAAACAAATGGAGTTTCTATTTTACATAAACAGTAGAATAGAAAATGTTGGTACATTCACTCAATAAAATACTGGGCATTAGTGAAAATAAATGAACTAAAGTTACATGTTGCAGTGTGAATAAATCTCAAAAACATAATATTGAGCCAAAGAAAAATATATACATTATGATTCTGTTTATATAAAGTTCAAGAACAGGAACTCTGTACATATTTTTAAAAAAAAATACAAGCAAGTGTTCGGTTCTATTTACAAAGGAGGAATGGAATGGTTAACACAAAATTTAAGACAGAACTTTGCTATGAGAGGGTGGTGCAATGGGTAAGGCACATATGGGCTTCTCTGATACTGTAGAATTTGTCAAGCTGAGTGGTAGGTATATGTATATTGATTTTACTATTTTCTTTAAGCCATGCTTGCCAGAATATATGCTCTGTGTTCACTAAAACTTGTTCTCTTGCAGGGTACGTAGAGTTCCACATTTCCAGCCTGCTTGCCTTTAGGGGAACCCATAACTTCAGTTCTAGTCAATAAAATGTGAAGGGACGTGAGGAGCATCACTCCCAGACGGAGATGGTAAAAACTATCATATGATCTCCCTGAGATCTTTTCCCTGTCATGTTGACTGAAACAGAAGATGGAGACAGCCTGGACCTCTTGGGTCTCTGCTGAAAGGGAGTGCCCTGGAGAACCTCTGGACCTGTAGTGAACTTCATGTAAGTGAAAAACTATAATTTATGTGCTAAGCTAGTGAGATGTAGACATTTGTTATTGCAAAATAAATTAGTCTTGTTTAATGCAGTGAACTTACATGATTTATTTATTTACCCTTGTGTACACAGTAAATTTCCCAATATAAAAAAGAAGCTCGTGCTTAAGGGAAAGACTTGGAGAGGGAAGTAGAGTCACACACAGTTCCATCTCATACTAGGCAGGCTCCTTATTCAAATAATGACTTCCTGGAACCTCAGTTACTTCATTTAAACATAATCGAATAATTATGCCTGCCTAACAGGGTTATCTGGGCATTAAATGGGATGTATTTCATTGGCTTAGTAAAATGCAAAGTATCTATAGATATTAAATAAATATTAATTTTTGTTTTCTTCTTCTGAAAAAGGAAGAGAACGTATAGAACAGGTAAAAGGAGAGATTAAGATACTTTAGTGTCTTGACTGAGCTAAGACCAAAGAAAATGTAGGCAGAAAGAGCTTAAAACAATCAAAGGGAAAGCCCAAGTAAATGTCAGGGCTGGGATAGTTAGGACTTTCCACTGCCCCCTCCCATCATCTGGTAGTGCAGCGCTGGGAACATGATGAAGTGGCATCATTGTCTGTGGTAAATATTTGAGGTTCGTCGTCTCACGCAAAGGAAATCGAGGATGCAGACACACAAGAAGTGAGTTTAAGAGTGGAGGTTTAATAGGCGAGAGAAAAGAGAAGAGAAAAATTCTCTCTCCCGAGAGAGAGAGGGGATCCCGAGTGGGTCTTCCGGTTTTGTGGTGAAATGCATGGGGTTTCATAGACGAGCTTGAGGAGGCAGTGTCTGATTTACACAGGGCCCAAAAGATTGGTTGGACCAGGTGTGCTGTTTGCATAGCGTGTGAAGAAGCTGGCCATCCCAGCCTAATCTTGTATTATGCAGATAGGGTCACTACCTGGCCGGCGCCATGTTGTCTGCTTTTTTACCACACACGGTGACAAAGAAAAAGAATGAGGGAACCTCATGTTGAATAAACCTGGCTTCCATATATCCCTTTTCTATTGGCACAGCTGCCGGCATTTTTGCTTGCTTATTTATGCTTGCAGCTTGATTTCTCAGGCTGCTTTTTGTTACAAAAGAAACGATTTGGGGGCTGCTTTTTATTAAAAGGAAATCTTATCAAGGACTCTCTTACCCTCACTATCTGCCTAAATAATTTCTTTCTAGCTTCTGTGTTAATGAAGATCATCACAAGGGTGATATTGAATCATGAATTACCACCCTGAAAGTTAGGACCACCAGAATGTCAAGAAATTCGCTGTGACTTAGACCAAGGTTGCCAGAGTCACCTCCTTTCTGAGGTCATTCTGGGTAGACCTGCAACAAGTGGGCTTCAGAGACCTCTTGAGCTGGCCTGTCTTGGGTCTGCCAGTTCTCAGCCACTGAGGACAGGTCTCATCCTTCTCTATGAACCTTTCCCTCTTTTCTTCTGTCCCCATACCAGGCATCTCCTAGAGTACTACTGTCTTTGCAAAGAGCCGAGATTTCTAGACTAGTGGTTCTGAGTGTGCAGAAGTGTCAACTGGAAGGCTTGCAAAAACACAGATGGCTCAACTTCTCCCTCAGAACTTTGGATCCAGTAGGTTAGACTAGGGTCCAAGAATTTGCATTTCTACCAAGTTCTCCAGCGATTCTGAACCCCACTTAGAGAACAGTCGTTGATTTTCTCCAGTGCTCAGAAAGGTAAGAGATAGAAGGAGTTTCTGCCATATTAGAGGGTCAAATTCTCCGAGGGGACCAGCAATTTGGATATGCATTTTCCTGAGTTCTATGGTGGGGGCTAGTTGTCTGACCTCACAACTAGAAGTGATACTGGTGTTTGCATTGGTCTCTTTCAAGTGACTCAATTAAATAGCAGAAAGTGATAGAGGAAACCAAGGAAGGGGACTGGAGCTGGATTCCTTTAAATGGACTTTTTCATGAAAATATCTGTTATTCTCTGAGAAGCGGTTGCTGCAGGCTGATTGTGGGAGTGACCCTTTGCAGCAAAGGAAAGGAGGCAGTTCCAGGCACCCTGTGGGACCTTCCCAGCTCTAATTTCTCATTATAATGAAGACTGATGGGTAATGGGATCAGCTTTTTGCCCAAGGGCCTGCATGGTTCTGTGGGAACATTTTCCCACTGCCGCACATTTGGTCTGTGGGGAGAGGATGGATGCTGGAGGCAGACTTGCTGGCAGGAAGCAAAGCCAGGCTGGCCTCCTGTCATCTGATTCCCTGTGTACGGGGCTGGCCCAAGGGAACCTCATGTCCTCCTTTCTACCCAAGGTCACAAGGAGCTGCCAGGGCTGATGACGGCCCCAAGTTATAGCCCCTCAGGGCACTCTGTGGAGAAATGTGACTCCATTAAAACACAGCCGTCACCCTGGGGCAGCTGACGGAGACAATACTAATCTTTAGATCTAACCCTGAAGTTTCAAGAAATTACTGAGAATAAAATAATGTCAGCACAATTTCCAAAAAACAAAAAACAAAAAAAAAACCTAGTCCTAGTCTAGGCCAGTTAGGAAAGCTGGGGTCAAGGAAATAACTGAGTTTTCTTGAGCACATTCTAAGTCCTGGTGATTTACATATGTTTTCTAGTTTGCACATTTAGGGCAATGCTGGAAACTAGATTTATCATCTTAATTACTTGAGGAAGTAAACTAGGGTCAGAGAGGGTAATTGATTTGCAAAGTTTGGTAAGTGGCAGAGTGTGGCTATGAAGCACAAGCTGGCCTGACCCCAGAACTATGTCCTCAGCCATAGGCCCCTGCTTTCAGAAATGACAGGCCCGTTTTGACCACAATGAAGTAGAAGTAGGCCATTCAGGAATAAAATGTCTGTACACATTGACATGTGCCTTTTATTTTCTATGAAGGGCCCACACATTTGCCAAACTCCATACTTTTTTTCCCTGTGCAAATGGGATATTCATCCCTGTTTCTGAGAATCACCCCAAATGCCACCTTATCCATAATAGCTCTTCCTCTGTAGCTCATGTTTCCTGGAATCCTGCCTTCACAACATTTCTATAGCATTACTGTATCTCACACCTCATTCATTTATTTATTAATTTATAAACTGAAAATAAAATTCTAAGCCCCCAACTGAATGAACAGACCATCTCTTGGCCAAGGGAACCACAGAGTAACCTTGAAAACTGAGTTCTCAGCCATGAAGGGATAAGGATGTTTGACACCTTATTATCTCCCCTCCTTCACTAACCACGATTAGGCTTTCTTCCCTAAGGGCATAACAGAGACCAGCCCATTCAGAAGACTTCCCTACTGATTTCAATTAATTGCCTGACACTGCCCCTCCTGTTTTGTCTGATAAGAGACCACCCACCACGGAGTTGTTCTGGCTAGTCCACTAAGAATATGTAGTGAGGGTTTTTTTGTCCTCTGTTTCATCTTTTGACATTAGAGGACTGACAACTCCACCCTCAGATCATGCTAACACCATTTTTTGTATAGGGGTCCCATTAAGAGGCATAAAGTTCAATTGAACATGGGCACGTTTCTCCTTTCATGAATACTAATAACTCCTTCTATAGCTTATTAAATATGCATATTCAGCCACCCCGTTCAGCATGCATTCCCGCTTCCCCTGTCCCTCCCTTTAAGTATCTGTTTCTGGCTTCCTACCAGAAGCTGTGCTACACAGGTTGTCAGAAAGGCCACCCTGCAGGCTGCAAAGCTTTATGAGAAATAAAGCTCTCCTTTCCAAATTTATAAACCTCATCATTCTGCAGTTGACACATTCATTCAATAGACATTTATTGAGAAATACCTTTTCTATGCTAGATTTTTTTTTTAGGCTCTAGGGGCACAGAAATGCATTAAGTTCCTGCCTTCCTGGACCTTTACACACACACACACACACACA
Organism: Homo sapiens; assembly: GCF_000001405.40. Taxonomy (NCBI): domain Eukaryota; kingdom Metazoa; phylum Chordata; class Mammalia; order Primates; family Hominidae; genus Homo; species Homo sapiens. The sequence continues at coordinate 85,456,803 of NC_000010.11, read as the reverse complement.
CACATTATATATGTGTAGTTTGATTTCAACTAGTGAGAAGTGTTTTGATAAAATATACACCAGAGTGAGGGGCTCAAGAGTGTTTTGGAGGAAAGGACCTATTATAGAAAGACTGGTCTTAAACGGCCTTACTGGAGAGGTGACATTTGATCAGACACCTAAAGTTATAGAGCAAGTGGTATGACAATGTTTAGAAGAGAATATTCCAGGCAGAGTGAGTAGCAAGTATGAGGGCACTGTGGCAGGAAAGAGTGACATGTCTGCAGTGAGAAGGAGTGATGTGTAGGGGCAGCATGCTGTCCAGTGTGGCTGGGGTGGAGTAAACCTAGGGGATCATGGTTGACAATATGGTGGCAAAAGCCAGACAGCTCCCAGCTCCCATCTTCCTAGCTCAACTTTGGGCAAGGCAAATCTCTTTTCTTAAATGGTCCCTGACTCTAATTCTTGCCTCAATTTTCACCCTGTTTTAAAACCCAGCACCTCATTGTAGTTTCCCACATCAGATCTATACTCTCAGCTACCAGATATAGCATTGAAACTTGGATGTCCTACAGTAACTTCTACAACTGAATTACCCCCCAGCCTCATCCCAAATAATCATGGTGAATGGCAGAAACATCTTCATAGGAAGATAGTGGAGAAATTTCAGAGGCACACTTGGTTCTCCCTCTCCACTCACCGTGATGTCTAGATGTCCATGTGTTTGTTGCTAAGCTTATAACATATTTTGCAGCTACTCCTTTCTCCCCCTCCCACTGTCCATAGCCATTTTCCATCTTTACTGTGTGCCTCTTGACTGGCCTTCTCCATCTGCCCTCAGTGTCCTCTAATCCGTCCTGCAGCTGAATTACCTGGCAGGTTAGTGCCACGCGCATCTTGGACTGAGCAAGCTACTCTCCTTTCGAACATGCCCGGCTGCATACGTAGCAGTCTGTTCTTTGTCTGCCATTCCAAAGTATTTCTGATTTGGCACCAGTCTACTTTTTCATATGAATCTGACCACATTTTCCTGCCAGCATACTGTGCATTGCCCTGTTCCTGGAAATTCATCAATACTTGAATACACTCTTATTTTTCTGATTTCATGCCTTTATTCAGATTATCCTACATATGACCTTTTTTCTATTGAATTGCTTCCCTTTTCTTCTAGACTCAAAGAAAATGCTAATACCCTTCTAAACCCTTATGAGATCCCCTGTCTATCTTCTCAATTAATGTGCCCCTCTTCTATTTTTCGATATTGAATATGAAAGTCAAGTTCCTCCCATAATAAGAGTTGAGTCATTTTGTGCCTTATGAGCTTTCAAGTTTGTAGCCAGAACTTCTTTAGTTTGAAAGCATATTAGGGATATTCAGTTCGTAGCCATTTTTAGGGTTTTCTGAATTTTTTTGTGTTAGCCACCCCTCCCCACCTTCCCATCCGGGGTTAAATGCCTGCCCACAGGGCCCCCTTTCTCTCAAATGCAGTTTCACTCTTTGGAAAATGCGCTGGGCATCTTCCATTTGCCTCTCTCACCCTATTTCCAACCCTTCTTCACCCTGCTCTGTGAGGCTAGGGGCTCAACTATATGGATTGTATTGATGGGTTCCTTTGCTGCCTGGCTTCGGTTTGAGTTTGTCCAATACGAAGCCCCATTAGGAGACTGGAGGGTATCCTAATGCAGGGTCTGGCACGTAGAACCCAGCAAACTCTTTTGATGGTAAGGGTGGGTGGGCTATGTGCAAGCAATTTCTGATGCTGCTGAGCCCTGCAGTAATGGTACTGGGAGCTGTCAGTATTGTCCTTCTTATGAACTTCTTGGGCAACAGTTAGAAGGCATCTCTAGAATGCCACAGTTGTCAGCACATGGAGATTGCTTAGTAAATGATGGTGGAATCAAATGGAATCAAACCCATGGCTGAGTCCTTCTTTCTCCTATAGCTGTTGGAACTCAGAGATGTCTACTACTAGTGGCAGGATAATATACTTGGGTCACATAATCTCTTTTTTGCCCAAACTTCACTGTTTTCCTATATGGATGAAATTCCCCAAAGGCTATTTTGATTCTTTCTGGGATTGAGAGAACATGGCAATATTTGATTGGCAGTCCAGAAAAGGGAGCTTCTCTGGGAAATAAGACTAGACAAGGCAAGAGGCTGCTGAGTGAATGAAACAACTAGATCTCTGGGGAAGTGGAATCCCAGCTCTTGGCTGAGACAGACTGTGGTTAAGCAACTCCCCAGAAAGAGCACTCCCTCAGCCTGGCACATAAAGCTGCCCATTCCACTTTGGCTCTGCAGACCATGCTGGTGTTATTTATAGGGAAGAGAAAAGTAGTTGAGAGAGGTCCTAAGTCATGGCACTGGGGCAAGTAAGTAGCATTTCTGAGGAGTTGTTACAGTGAAAGGCCAAAGTCTCTGGAAAGAAGCACAACGAAAGTAGTCTGAAATGGAGAGAGATGGGTTAGCCCTCGATGGCTTTCGATGTGCAGTGCAATGCTGTCCTGAAGTGAATTCCAGTGGTAGTTTTCACATGAGCCTAGACCAGCAGCATTAGGGATACCTGGGAACTTTTAAGAGATGCAGATTCTCAGGCCCAACCCCAATATATGGAATCAGAATCTCTGAGTGAGGAGGGCCCACTTGTGATTCTGAGGCTTGCTAGTATTTGAGAGCAACGAGTTCGAGGAATCTGTTGTTATCACTCCTACTGGTATACAGGGTCTACTAGTGGGTATTGTAGGCTAATGTGGAAGTAGTGTATCCCTTTCACTGCCTCTCCAGAAAGATGGCACAACACAGAGAGACTTGGAGGCTTGGTGTGGGGATGGAGAAGGCATTTATACATAAAAAGCTTTGACTTCTCTCTTCAAATTTCATCTAAATCTTGTGTGTTAGAGTCCGGGATGGCTGAAGGGAGGGAGATTCTCAGCAAGAATGGAGGGGTGGATAACAGTCCTGAAGGGACTCTGGGCTCCTGTATTCAAATTGGCACTGGGGGTTCTGCCAGCCCCCGGCTCAGGATTGCATGGGGGAACCTGGGTCATGTCTCATTTCTGAGATTGAGAAACTAGAGAAACCTGCCTCACCTTCAGTCTCCAGCTATTGCAGAACAGAACAGACTTGAGAGAGATGCTCAGGCAGAGATAATCTCAGTGTATGAGTCAAGACACTGGCATCAAGAAGCGTCTCACAGCCCAGGAGCCACAAGTAAAGGAAAGTAAATTAAAGGCAAGAGGCTCAAGGACACATCATCAGCCCAAAGTTTCTGGCTCATGGGTCTCATTAGGTGGATGAAGCTCTGTTTCTGTGCACTGATGTCTGACATGGGACAGATGATAATTAAGGCAGAGACCAGCAGAAGCTCTGTTCTGCATCCTCAGAATCCCTCTGCTTGGTGAGTGGGCCTTTTATTGGGAATTTTGAATAGATGCAAAATGTTGATCATGTTATAGTTGGCACTATGCTGGCTGTGGGGCTATTTGGAGATCTCCAGCTGATATTCTGGTGATATTTGACAAGGGGATCCAAGAACAATCAAATCGCTGTAGATGCCATTGACAAGTCACCTTTCCCTGCAAGGGCCTCCCGGGAAATATGTGTGCAGAGCAAAAAGCCAAGCGAAGCAGCACTTTATTCCTAGCACAGCTCTGATCAACTATGGTGAACAAGTGCAGAATGTTCGTCAGAATTTAAGGAGATTCCTGACCTTGGGCGGGTCACCTGCTCTTACCACCTCCACCTGAAAACCTACCTCTGTGTCTTGGAACTCCATTCCACAGTTCTGGGGCGGTCACACACAGGATGAAGTAGAGTAGAATGCCAGAGATGGGAAGCATCTCTCACAGGAGACAGATGCTGGGGAATGCAATTGAGAGGAAGGAGGAGAGGCACACTCCCATGGGACCCCTTAGAGGTTGACAGAGATCCAAGGCACTTCTATTTTTGAGTCTCCTGATACATCAAAAACACAAAGAAATTGAAAAGAGGGTCATAGAATTTATAGACATTACATGCTTACTTTAAACAAATTAGTGTCTTTAACAAATATAAGGCAAAGATAAAATTGTAAAATATAATCCCAGAATTAAAGAAACAAAACAAAACAAAAAACCTCATGTAGCCAATATTACAAGATGGTGCTCCAGGAGGCTTAGTGTGGGAATGGAGAAGGTATTTTTGTATAAAAAGCTTTGACTTCTCTCACATTTAAAGTTGTGTGATGGGTGTCTTCTTCCTTCAGCCAGCCAAGTTAGCTCTATGACTGTGTGTAATTGTACTGAACATAAATGTGTGGGTCAAAAAGTGTGCATTGGAAGCCTCTGTATCATCAGAAGCATTAACTGAATGGATTTTCTGTTTTGCCACCCTTATGATGGGCTCAGACCTGTCCCAGCCAAATCTTCCTTTTCAGTGTGGCAGGGAAGATGGCATTCAACACAGAGACCTGAACTCAGCATAGGACCACACATACTGGGCAGGCCTGTCCTACCAGACTAATGGTAGATGATTCTCACCTTCACCCACCCAAGGGGAAGGACTAGGAAGCAAGAAGAAGAGCCTCTATTTCCTCTCTTAAAAGCAACAGAAGGCCGGGTGCGGTGGCTCACGCCTGCACTTTGGGAGGCTGAGGCGGGTGGGTCACGAGGTCAAGGGATTGAGATCATCTTGGTCAACATGGGGAAACCCTGCCTCTACTAAAAATACAAAAATTAGCTGGGTATGGTTGTGCGTGCTTATAGTCCCAGCTACTCGGGAGGCTGAGGCAGGAGAATCACTTGAACCTGGGAGGTGGAGGTTGCAGTGAGCTGAGATTGCACCACTGCACTCCAGCCTGGCGACAGAGCAAGACTCCATCTAAAAAAAAAAAAAAAAAAAAGCAAATAAATGATAATAATAAAAAGCAACAGAAGTCTCATGGTGAGCCTCATGTATTCCTCACTATCAAGAGAACAAAGAGATGTAGCATCTTGTTCCAGATCACAAAAGGAAAAGCAACTTGGCTGAACCAGGACTCCCCTGGCTTATGATTGCTCTGATCAGGGATTTCATTGCTGACATCACTGGAAATAACCATATCTCATTTGAGCATCTTGAGCTTACCTGGCATTCAATGCACCCATAAAATTTTTGTTGGTTTGTTTTATACAAGAATCTATTTGTCACTTCCTCAGTTCCTTTCTGGCTTCCTCAACAGCTCCATTCTCTATGGACATCATCTGAGAGTCAGGGAGAGGCAGGAGGATGACAGACTTGTCAAATGGCTGCTGAAACATTTGACTGCTTCCCCAAGAATCTGAAGCCTTTCTGGCAGCCATCTGGGAAGGTTTCACCGAGAGAGGTGGGAGACAGGCGGGGTGGGTCTTCCTTGCTTCCGTGCATTTGAGCTCAGGCGCTGGCCCATTTATCTGCTGCAGTGAAGCTCTACTAATGCAAAAGACGTACATTTGGCACAGAGTTCCCCAGAGAGCAGTGAGGATAATAATGCCACTATTCATTATTTTAAAACAAACACAATTTGGAGTGTGGATCTATCTGGAAGTGCGAAATTGGTTCCTCTTAAAGAGCAACTGGCAAGGGAAGAGCACGTGACCAGCCCAAGGGCAAGGAATTCCACTTGGGGCCAGCAGTGCAGTGTCACAAACTATAAGCTGGCCCTGCCGGCTGAGCTGCAGTCACAATTGATGTTGGAATATTATAAGAGATACCTAACATCCATTGAGGACCTATTAAGTGCTCTGTGTGCTTGATCTCATTGTCTCCTTACAACTACCCTATATCATAGACATTGTTTTTTCCCATTACCATAGGAAGAGACTGAGGGTCGGATCAGTGGACAGCCTTGGCAGAGAAAACTTCATTCCAGACTGTTGGGACTTCCAGGCCATGCTCTTTCCACAGTACTTTGTTGTAAGTGCAGAGATAACACTGAACTGTGAAACAAGACACTCTAGCTTTCCCTCAGAGCCAGGAAATGGTATGAGAAAGTAAGGCATGCAAAAAGGAAGAAGTCCTTCCCACTGAACAAGTCAAAGCTAGATCTGACTTCCAGCTTGGCCAACTCCAGGCACCAAAAACGGTACAACATTGGATAGGTTGTTTGCCAGTTCTGCCCCAGTTCTCCTATCTGTGAAAATGGGATTTGAATGAGATAAAAGCTATACTCTTAAAGGTCTTAATTTTGCTAGAATCTTATGCCAGCAGGAATGTTATTCACTGACCCACCCAGGCACTTACATGTTTAAAAAACCCCCACACTGGCCAGGTGTGGTGGCTCACGCCTGTAATCCCAGCACTTTGGGAGGCCAAGGCGGGCAGATTATGAGGTCAGGAGATCAAGACCATCCTGGCTAACATGGTGAAACCCTGTCTCCACTAAAAATACAAAAATTAGCCGAGCATTGTGGCGGGCACCTGTAGTCCCAGTTACTCAGGAGGCTGAGACAGGAGACTAGCATGAACCTGGGAGGCGGAGCTTGCAGTGAGCCAAGTTCGCGCCACTGCACTCCAGCCTGGGCGACAGGGTGAGATTCCATCTCAAAAAAAAAAAAAAAAAAAAAAAAAAAAATCCCCACACTGAGTCGGAACCCAATCTAGAACCACAGGGCTGGAAGTTACCTTTAAGGAGAGGGCAGCTCAAAGCCCCACCTGATTATGAGATTTTATTCACAGAAACTTCAAAAGAAGAATCTGCTCTGGAATTCTGTGTTTCCTGGGAGCTCTTGTCTTGCAGTCATTTGGAGTTTTCCGTCCTTGCTTGATGGAAGAGTGTCGAGTTGAATTCACAGTGCTGTTCTTGAAAATTGTTTCAGAGATCATGTGAACGGTGTGGGGTTGGCCTCTCTGGACTTGATATCTTGATGTGATCTTACCCTGAAGTCCCAGTCCACTCTGCTGGTGATCTTAAAGATCACTGTGATGCAATGGAGAAAGCATGGTTTGGAATCACACCACTCTGGGTTGTTCTATCTTCTACGTATGCATCCATCCTGGGCAACCTGCCCAACTACTTGGAGCTTTGGCCCTCTCATCTGTTAATTGGAGAAACTAAGGTAGCGTTACAGCTTGAGCATTAGATGGGGCAACTGCATTAGATGCTGGATGTGAAGCAGCTGATACAATGCTGGACCCAGGGCCAGTGTTCTTTCCCCTCTTCATGCCCCTTCAGTAAAAAGATTCCTCCCCTGAGACATGGTTTCTGGACTTGGGATGACATCTGGCACAGTAAAGTCGTAAGAGCTCTGTCTCTGAAGGTTTTTGGGGGCCATCGGTCCTTTTGAGAGCAAAATGAAATTTGTGAACATTTTCCTGAGAAGAGAATCACACTGAGCTATTAATGCTGACACTCACTTTTAAGAATCTCCTCCCAGAATCTCAGTCAGGCATTTCAGGGGTCTCCCTGCCTTTAGAGCTGCCTGTGATTCAGTTCACAGGAAACAGGCAAACCTTTCCCAGACCCTGGGAAGACACCGAGAGAAGAGGCTGAAGGCCAGGTGGATCGCCTGCTGGCCTTTCCTAATTGCTTTTCTTGTGCTTGTGTGCGAATGTGCTCTAGTTAACCTGTGCTTCCTGTACCCCATGTCCCTGGCACCTCTTCTCTGATCTGTGACACCAGCAGGAGCACAATTAGTCAGGAAGAACAAAAGCTCTGAGGTGCATGGACTCAGCTCTGACCTCACCAGATGTTCTGGCCTGGTCGTTTTCATGTAGGTTTCTGGAGCACCCTGGAGGCTGCTGGCTACTCCTCTCTAGAGCACTCCCTGGTACACTGAGGTGGTCGCATTCCTCTATGTTCAGTTATCCTGTGCAGCTACAATCATCTGTCCTCAGGCACTTCACTTACAACAAAGCCAGAGATGCCCATTTTATGAGATCAAGGCTCCTTTATTTATGACATGACAGGAGAACAGAACAGACTGCTACGCTTTAACGTGAGAAGAAGGGCCTCTTGATTCCCAGCCAGCCCTTTGCATTTGAAACCTGGCAGCTCAGGCAGCAGCATCTCTGAATGTAGGGGACAGTCACTGGCAGCTTGCTCAAAAGGGCCGTCTCCTGGGAAGGGGTGCCTCCAATTTGTCTAATTGTCTGGCTCTTTTTCCCCCCGAGTCCAGAGGATCTGTACCTGGGTCACCCTTGATGACACCCAGTAGATTCTAACATAACACCCATCATTTCTGGAGCTCCTTCTTGGTGCCAGCACATGTCACTTTGTCCTTTCTCCATACTACCCTGTTTGTGTGTCCTTGTTCCATGCACAACAGACCTGGTTACAAATGTTTACATCTTCCCAGTGGCCACATGCAGCCCCTTCCATCTTCCCAGCAATCCTCCCTTTCTCTAACCTTCTCTAGCTCATTACCCTGTTATATTTTTATCTGTAGATCTTACCATCCTCCGAAGGTCTATTATTTATTTATGTCTTTACCTGTTTATTATCTCTCTTGCTAAAGGATAAGACCATGAGAGCAGGCCCCTTTCTCTCTTGTTCATGTTCTATCCCCAGGGCAAGGACTAAGCGCACAAAATCAGTTCTGTTGAATCAAGAGTTCGTGACAAATGCAGTGATATATTATTATATGGATTCAAAACTTTCCCCTGGGTCTTGTTTTGCCAGGAAATTTATTCATCCTGGAAAGAAGGATTCAGGAAACTTGGCAGATAAAGAGACTGAGATTAGTTGTATCTCTGAGATAAAATGTAGTGCCACAAAAGTGGACTACACATTACAGACACTGTGGAGGTTTGTGGGTTCATGCAATTGTTTTGCCTGCCCTGTTTCTGAGCACCTAGATTTCATCATTGATACCTGCTTGCTCTTCCCACATCTCAAAATCACCTTCAATCATGGACATGGGGTTTCAGACTCCCTAGAGGTGGCTCTCTGTGCCATATTGTGCAATCCAATGGCCAATTGTTGTTATGCAACTATGATGGTGCCCACAATGATGATCACAGTCTCACTGACATGCCAGTGTGGGTCTTGTGGGCAGGATCTTGGAGCAATAATATTTCCTTTTTCGAAGTGTGGTGCAAGAAGCCATGGTGGTTCATGCTGTTCTCTGTCCAGTTGCCAGGAGAAGCTGGGCCAATTCTAAGCACATGGGGTCTGCAATGGTAATGATGTTGAAGATGATGATAATGATAGGTAAAATATATGGAGCACTTGCACTGTGGTAGCAACTTTGCTGAGTACCCTGCACATTGTTGCATTTAGCAATCACAACCATTGAACAAGGTAAATCTAATGATCATCCCTACTTTGCAGATAGGAAGGCTGAAAGAAGCGAAATAGCTAGAACTTGGGGTGATTCTGAAGGCTGCACCTTTAGCTGCTGTGTTCTGTGGCTTTGGTTGTAGCTGAGGTATAGAAAATAGATTAGAAAGTGCATGCCTAGGTGTGGAGGGGATGGTTGGGAGGTTCTTGCAGCGGTTCAGGTGGGAGTTGCTTAGAGCTGAGGCTGGCAGAAACAAGGCATGGTTTTCTTATGGTACCACTCTTGACTTGAGAAGCAGGGAAGATAAGTTCCAGTGAAAAGACAAAATGACTGCAAAGAAAAGAATAAAAATGCCCTCAAGTGTGAGGCTGAGAATACCAAGGTGCTGCAGGCCAGGAGAGAGCTTGCTTAGCCCAGTGTCTTGGTGGTGAGAGAATTCGAGTCTATGAGGGACCAGGCTGCTCTACAGAAACCAGAAAAAAAAAAAAAGTGGGTAATGGTGGTGCTGCAGGAGGGGTGGGAGAGGCAGAGTGGCTGGGCTGAGCAAACCCAGTCCCAGCTGGGAAGTGACTCAGAGGAGCTACTACCTCATGATGCAGTGAAAGATGTCAGTTGGAGAAGCCTATTGCAAGATTCAGAGAGGGTAGGATGATTTCCAGACATCAGTCAGAGGTGCTGTTTGGAAACCAGGTTTCCAAGCATTTAGCAAGCTTGTCTTCAGAACAAGGGTTTTTCAGAACAAGATTATTCTCATCACTTGTCCTGCATGTCCTCTCCACGTGTCATTTCCTTGAAATATTTTCTTGATTTTGGAGGGTCTGTGAACATGAAAGAGAATATTTAGTTTTTGCTAATTTCTTTCTTTCTTTCTTTTTTTTTTTTTTTTTTTTTTTGAGACAGAGTCTCACTCTGTCGCCCAGGCTGGAGTGCAGTGGCATGATAGTTCACTGCAACCTCCGCCTCCCAGGTTCAAACGATTCTCCTGCCTCATCCTCCTGAGTAGCTGGGACTACAGGCATGTGCCACCACACCTGGCTAATTTTTCTATTTTTAGTAGAGATAGGGTTTCACCATGTTGGCCAGGCTGGTCTCAAACTCCTGACCTCAGGTGATCCAACCGCCTCTGGCCTCCCAAAGTGTTGGGATTACAGGCGTGAGCCACCCACCACACTCGGCTGCTCATTTCTTATACAAACATATATGACCCTTTCCTAATTATCAGGGTAAATTGGTTTGCAGAAAGCATGGACAAAAAAAGATTCTAAAACATGTATTAAGCACACACTGTCCTGGTATGCACACAACATATAACCATGATCCAACAAATCCCACTAGTCACGTTTTCCCAAAACTTCATAAGACACAGCCAGTGTTCACTGGGTTGTGGCTCTGCTCTCTAGGAAGAAAACATTTTCCAGTGCCCTTGCAGTTAGGTGGGGTTCAATGACTAGCTCTAGCCAATGAAGAAGAGTGAGAATAAAGTG